>NT_187656.1:0-106711 GCF_000001405.40 Homo sapiens
GATCCGCCCGCTTCGGCCTCCCAAAGTGCTGGGATTACAGGTGTGCGCCACCGTGCCCAGCCTATTGTTATTTACCACTGACCACAGCGCAACACCATTGTCCGTCTCCAGAAAGAGGCCTTCAGTGCCGTGAGCGCATGTCAGATCTCTGCCATCTTCTCAAAGCACACTTTGAACAGTATCTTTTAAAAGTTCACTTTTGGGGCCAGGCAAGGTGGTTCATGCCTGTAATTCCAGCACTTTGGGAGGCTGAGGTGGGAGGATCTCTTGAGCCTAGGAGGTTGAGGCTGCAGCGAGCCACGTTTGCGCCATTGCGCAGCCTGGGCGACAGGATGAGACCCTGTCTCAAAACACCACCACCAAATTCACATTAGCCTACAGTTGGGCAAAACCATCTAACACAAACCCTATGTATAAAAAAGGATTGAATATCTCATGTAATTTATTGAATACTGTATGAAAGTGGAAAACAAGGTGATTGGGCACTTGATGTACGATTTCTACTGAGTGCGTGTTGCTTTCATGCCATTGTAAAGTCAAAAAATCGTTCAGCTTCACCATCACAAATTGGAGACTGTCTATACTTATTTACAGATAAGGAAACTGTGGCGTGGAGAGGTTGTCAGTTAGCCTAAGTCCCGGAGCTCCCGAGAGGTGGAGCTGGAGCTTGAACTGTGTCGGTTTGCCCCTGAGATGCCTGCCTGCCACCTTTCTGCCTCTGATTGCCTGGAGCACCAGGCAGCCAGGTTATGCTTCTGCCTGGAGGGAGCAGTCTCATTTAAAAACAAGAAACAAAACGCATGCTTATTGGTTTGTCTTTCCTGTGACTTCTCTGTGCCCCTTTGCATTTGATGAGTCACTGGGGTGTTGCTTTATGATGGTGACAGACCCTCTGTTGGGGCCTCTCACCTGGGTCGCCTGTGTGCCGGCTGGTGCCGCACGAAGGCCAGCCTTTCCTTACAGATGCTGCCTTGGCTACACCGACCCTCCCTGTGGCTTCTCCCATCGCCTGAAGTCCCCACCAAACCCCTATACGATACTGAGGTTTTAAAGCTTTTGAAATTATGTTTATCCCGTTAACCCCTTGTAGTTTATTTTCTTGTGAGATGGGTCTCCATCATTCCTCGCATCGATTACCAAATATGTTCTAGAACATTTATGAGGTAATGCTTTTTTCTCCTTGCAATGCATCGTCAACTGTATTCTCAAATGTTTGTATGTTTTTTTTTTTTTTTGAGACAGAGTCTCACTCTGTCCCCCAGGCTGGAGTGCAGTGGCGCGATCTTGGCTCACTGCAAGCTCTGCCTCCCGGGTTCACGCCATTCTCCTGCCTCAGCCTCTCGAGTAGCTGGGACTACAGGTGCCCGCCACCACGCCTGGCTAATTTTTGGTATTTTTAGTAGAGACGGGGTTTCACCGTGTTAACCAGGATGGTCTCCATCTCCTGACCTCGTCATCTGCCCGCCTTGGCCTCCTGAAATGCTGGGATTACAGGCATGAGCCGCTGTGCCCGGCCCAAATGTTTGTATGTTTTTACAGACTCCTTCTGTGCTTTCTAGTCTGTTCTATGAAAATGTTGATATGTTTATTTTTAGTTATTAGGAAGTAACTGGGCAGGTCTTCCTAATAGCGTTTATTCTTGTGACTTTCTTGTCTAGGCTTGTCCTTACTTAAATGTTTTAAAAGATTAAAAAAGTTAAAGAATGTAGTTTAAGGCCAGGTGCGGTGGCTCACGCCTGTAATCCTAGCACTTTGGGAGGCCGAGGCGGGTGGATCACGAGGTCAGGAGTTTGAGACCAGCCTGGCCAATATGAAACCCTGTCTCTACTAAAAATATAAAAAAATTCCCTGAGTGTGGTGCTGGGCACCTGTAATCCCAGCTACTTGGGAGGCTGAGGCAGCAGAATCACTCGAACCCGGGAGGTGGAGGTTGCAGTGAGCCGAGATCGCACCATTGCACTCCAGCCTGGTGACAGCAAGACTCTGTCTCAAAAAAAAAAAAAAAAAAAGGTTTAAGAAGTTAATTATAAAACATTGCCCCTGCCTTGCCCACATTTCTAAACCTGAGTGAATTATTTTCATTTTATAGCTGTTTCTTCTTAAAAATTTACTTTAAGAATGATTGCTTTTTAAGTCTAAATTGTGTGTTCCTACTATTTATGGGTGTTCTTTCCCCCATTTAGTCATTACTTATTGACTTTTTTTGAGACGGGGTTTCGCTCTGTTGCCCAGGCTGGAGTACAGTGGTGGGATCTCGGCTCACTGCAACCTCTGCCTCTCAGGTTCAAGTGATTCTCCTGCCTCAGCCTCCCGAGTAGCTGGGCTTACAGGAGCCTGCCACACTCCCGGCTAATTTTTTGTATTTTTATTAGAGACGGAGTTTCACCATGTTGACCAGGCTGGTTTTGAACCCCTGACCTCAACTGATCTGCCCTCCTCGGCCTCCCAAAGTGCTGGGATTACAGGCGTGAGCCACCGTGCCTGGCCTGTTTATTGATGCCTTACTCTAGAAGATGAGTCTTTTAACTCTTGCTCAAGTTTCTCTTCTCCTGTACTTGTATATGTGTAATATTTTACCTGATTAATGTCTATTTCATGTCTGAAAGTACTGTTCTCAGCCGAGAATAACAGTTCAACTTTTGGGTCAGTTTTTAATTTTTTTGAAAGTTAATGATTGCCTTTTGTTTTGCTTACTTTTTTTTTTTTTTTTTTTTTTGAGACAGAGTTTCACTCTGTCACCCAGGCTGTAGTGCAGTGGCGCGATCTCGGCTCACTGTAACCTCTTCTGCCGGGTTCAAGCGATTCTCCTGCCTCAGCCTCCAGAGTAGCTGGAACTACAGGTGTGTGCCACCTGTCTGGTTAATTTTTGTGTTTTTTGTAGAGACGGGGTTTCGCCATGTTGGCCAGGCTGGTCTTGAACTCCTGACCTTAAGTGATCCACCCGCCTTGGCCTCCCAAAGTGCTGGGATTACAGCCGTGAGCCACTGCGCCGGCCCGTGTCTGAAATTTTAAGACGATGTGCCCAAGTGTGGCATTTGGTGGCCTTATTCAATCTGGAAACTTATGTCTTTTGGGCTCTAGTGGAAAATATTCTTGTTGTATTTTGTTGCTAACCTCTTCTGTTTCATTTCACTTTCTCTTTTCTCTGTATTTCTCTATGGTAGTTGAAATTATACCTCCTGGTGTAGATTTTCCTGCCTTTCTGCCTTTCGCGTTCTGTTTCCACGACTCTCAAGTTTGTCCTCTAGCCCTTGTTTTGCATTTTTAATTTCTGCTGTCAGTTTTATAGCTTGAGAGCTTTCTCATGACCCAAGTGCCCCTTTTTTGGTGGCATCTGTTTCTTTAAGCTGTATTTTATCTCGTCTGTGTAAAGGTGTTTCCTTTGGCGTTTCCTTCTGTGCATTGTCTCATTGCTTTGAATGCCTTTTGTGTAGGTTTGTTTGGTCTCTGGCCCATGCTGTGAGGTTCTGAGCTCTCACTTTGTGCTTGGTGGCTGGTGGCTGTCCACCCATGTGTACCAGTGCCTGCCAACCTGAAGGGCTTTGGCAGGGGCCTTCGCTGCAGGGTGAGGTCTGAGGAGGAGCCTGAATGCTGGTTCAGTTCTTCCAGAGGACTCTCGACTCTCTTCTCTTGCTTGGTGAGCAGGTGGGTGTTGTGAGCCCGGCTGCCATCATTCTGGGATGGGGCATCTCACCCCTCGGGGAGTCTGTCACTGCGCTGTGCTGCTCTCACGAGGCCCCTTGCTCCACACTCCGTGGAGCTCGGAGCTTTTGTGTTCTCACTTTTCCAGCTTGTCTTTTTCTGAGATGGGGGCCGAGGGGCCTGCCTGGCTGCAGGGTCTCATGGCAGGGATCTGCTGCTCTCTGTATAGACTTGAAGCCCATCCTCCTGACATCGGTCTCCTGAGGTTCCTTTCATTCCCAAGCCTTTTCGGGTTCTCTGTTCGAGACGGTTTGCTTCTTAATTTGTCTTCCCTCCTGCAGGTAGCTGGGGTGCAGCTTGCTCTCCTTGGCTGAGTCAGTTACTGCTTGACCATTGCTTGGCAATGTCCAGGATTGTGATAACTCTATTGTCCTTGATGACTGATTGTTTCTACACACATGCCCCGGCCCCCATTTATGACTTCTGATATATTCTTGATTTATCACTGCCTGAGAGAAGGCTTTGGGGAGGAATAATTTGACTTTATGTAATTTTTATTTTTTTTAGAGATGGGGTCTTACTATGTTGCCCAGGCTGGTCCTGAACTCCTGGCCTCAAGTGATTCTCTTGTCTCAGCCTCCCAAAGTGCTGGGGTTACAGGCATGAGCCACTGTGGCTGGCTGCTTTCTTATTCTTTTTTTTTTTTGAGATGGAGTCTCACTCTGTTGCCCAGGCTGGAGTGCAGTGGCGTGATCTCGGCTCACTGCAATCTCTGACTCCCAGGTTCAAGCGATTCTCCCACCTCAGCCTCCCAAGTAGCTGGGACTACAGGCATGCACCACCACGCCCGGCTAATTTTTGTATTTTTAGTAGACATGGGGTTTTGCCATGTGGCTAGGCTGGTGTTGAACTCCTGATCTCAAGTGATCTGGTGGCCTTGGCCTCCCAAAGTGGTGGGATTACAAGCATGAACCACCATGCCCGGCCTCTCATGCTTAAATGAAGTAGTAATACCTGACCTTTTATTTTTTATCTATTTATATTTGAGATGGAGTCTCGCTCTGTCACCCAGGCTGGAGTGCAGTAGCGTGATCTTGGCTCACTGCAACCTCCGCCTCCCAGGTTCACTCCATTCTCCTGCCTCAGCCTCCTGAGTAGCTGGGACTACAGGCGCCCACCACCATGCCCGGCTAATTTTTTGTATTTTTAGTAGAGAGGGGGGTTTCACCCTGTTAGCCAGGATGGTCTCGATCTCCTGACCTCGTGATCTGCCCGCCTCGGCTTCCCAAAGTGCTGGGATTACAGGCGTGAGCCACCGCGCTTAGCAATACCTGACCTTTTAGTAAATCAAATTTGGGCAGGTGGTTCTGAGAGCTTGTGTGGCATGTATTTCTCAGTGGAATTTTAAATAGAATGGTGACTCGGCATTTATTCCTTGTCTGAAGTAAGCAAGTAGGAAGGACCTTGTTCCCCATTCAAGGGAATGAACGGTGTGGTATGTACTTTGCAAACCTACGTATGGGATTAGTCTGTAGTGCTCTGAAACCTAGAAATCAAAGGAAAGGCATGGGGCCTTTGACCGACTGACCTTTGTTTCTTGCTGGTAATAGAATATAGTAAATGGAAATTTATCTCAGTAGTTTAGTCAGTAGATTCTGTTATTGGTAATGATGGGTGAGTCCAGGGGAGTTTGGATACTTGAATTTTCCAGAGAGATTTGTTTAAACCCTGAACTGAAATGTTTTTTCTCATGTATTTTTTGATGACTTTAAAAAATAATTTCAGCCTTTATTTTAGATTCTGGGGGTAAATGTGCAGGTTTGTTATGTGGGCATATTGTGTGACACCAAGGCAGTTTATCATGGTGGATGATAAAAGGGGACTCCCTTAGGTCGAGTGTTGCTGAAAGACCTCTCTGCGGAAGTGACATTTCATCTGGGTCCTGAAGCTGCCTGGGACCAGCCTTGTCCCAGCCTGGAGGGGAGAAGGGCTTGAGGTGGTAGAGAGCCAGTTGTGTTTCAGGACCTGAGAGGCTGTACTGTTGGAACTCAGTGAGCGAGGAGAGGAGCTGGCATAAGCCGGATTGCTGGGGGAGGCCAGAACGTGCTGGGCCTTGAAGGCTCCGGCATGAGTCTGATTTTATCCTGGGTGCCTTGTAGGAAGCTGCCAAAGGAAAGCGAGTGAGTAACAGGTCTGATGTAATTATATGACAATATTACACTGTAGCAGGACAAGCCACAGACAAAACCCCTCAGACACCGAGTTAAAGAAGGGCTTTATTCGGCCGGGAGCTTTGGCAAGAGTCAAATCTTCAACAGCCGAGCTCCCCGAATGAGCAATTCCTGTCCCTCTTCAGGGCTCACAACTCTAAGAGGGTCCACGTGAGAGGGTCGTGATCGATTGAGCAAGCAGGGGGTATGTGACTGGGGGCTGCATGCACCTGTAATTAGAACGGAACAGGATGGGACAGGGATTTTCACAGTGCTTTTCTATACAATGTCTGGAATCTATAGATAACATAACTGATTAGGTCAGGGGTCGATCTTTAACTACGAGGCCCAGGGTGTGGCACCGGGCTGTCTGCTTGTGGATTTCATTTCTGCCTTTTAGTTTTTGCTTCTTCTTTCTTTGGAGGCAGAAATTGGGAATAAGACAATGTGAGGGGTGGTCTCCTCCCTTAATGCCAGCTTCTCTGTGGAAAGTAGGTTGGAGGTGAGTGGAAGGTGAAAGCTGCGAAGAGTCCCAACTGGAGATGCAGGTGGCAGCGGAGATGGCGAGAATAGGAGAGTCCGACCGGAGATGCAGGTGGCAGCGGAGATGGCGAGAATAGGAGAGTCCCGACCGGAGATGCAGGTGGCAGCGGAGATGGCAAGAGTAAGAGAGTCCCGACCGGAGACGCAGGTGGCAGCGGAGATGGCGAGAATAGGAGAGTCCGACCGGAGATGCAGGTGGCAGCGGAGATGGCAAGAGTAAGAGAGTCCCAACTGGAGATGCAGGTGGCAGCGGAGATGGCGAGAGTAAGAGAGTCCCGACCGGAGACGCAGGTGGCAGCGGAGATGGCGAGAATAGGAGAGTCCGACCGGAGATGCAGGTGGCAGTGGAGATGGCGAGAGTAAGAGAGTCCCGACCGGAGATGCAGGTGGCAGTGGAGATGGCGCGAGTAAGGGAGTCTGACTGGAGATGCAGGTGGCAGCGGAGATGGCCGGAATAGAGCACTCGTTTGGAGGAAAAGCGGACAGGTCGACAGGATGGATGTGATGGGGGCCCCGAAGGAGAGGATGCTGTAGAGACTGACATGGCACCTCTGGTGATCCCGTCGCTCAGGAAATGCTCGTTGTTTTCCAGCTGTGTTGCTCAGAAGCTCTTGGGACAGTTTTTGGTGCATTATGAGCACTCAGAGATGTGGTGCTATTGCTGGGTACCTGCTGTCTGCAGAGCATTTATTCTTACCAAGTATTTATTGAGAGCCTGCTACAATGCCAGGCACTTCCCAGGATTCTGGGACTATGGCAGGGAAAAAACAACTCCGTGTTCACATGGAGCTTGCATTCTAGTGGACAGAGATCAAAAAGAAAAACATAGTTTAGTGGGATGTTAGAAGATGATAAACACAACAGAGAAATATCATTCTAGTGGATAGAGATCGAAAATAAACACGAAATTTGGTGAGATGTTAGAAGATGATAAACACAACAGAGAGATATTAAGGGGGGAAGGTGATTGGGTAAATGAGGGTATAGGTGTTCAATTTTAAGTAGAATGATCAGGGCCGGCCCTTCTGTGAAGGCAGCAGTTGAGCAAGGACCTGGAGCTAGTGAGGCAGTGGCCACGTAGAAGTTAGTGGGGAGGGCGTCTTGGCAGAGGGAGTGGTAAGTGCAGAGGCCTTTGTCGGGGAGGATGACTGCTGCACGGAAGAAACAGCAGGAGGCGCATGTGGCTTTAGGACAGCAATCCTGGGTGGAAAGGCAGTAGGGGGTTAGGTTGGGGGGAATGAAGGTGGGGGACAGGTGGAGTAGGGCCTTTCCTAGAGCTTTATAAAGACTGTGGCTCTTACTAGAATGCTAAACACTGAGTATCCTTGAGTAGCTCAGGCCTTTGTAATGCAGAGTGGTGAATGGTGTGAGGGGTGAACAGCTTCGGAGAGGTCAGGCATGGAATGCAGGGGTGATGCTTGGCTCAGGTCTTGCTAGGCTGATGGGATGTGGGGGATGGTCTGGAAAGGGTGGGCAGTCCCGTGTGCCACGCTGCAGAGAGGCATGAGCAGCAGCAGGACACATGTGATACATTGAGGGTGACTCCTAGCGTGGGTAGGGCCTAGTGGGGCACGGGAATGTGGCTGGAGACCAAGGTGGGAGAGGCAGCCAAAACCAGATGGTAGGACCTCCTGTCTAGGATGTGGGCTGTTTAAGTATTTTAAGCAGGGGAATGACACTCAATTTTTAAAAATTTTTTTGAGATGGAATCTCTCTCGTCACCCAGGCTGGAGTGCAGTGGTATGATCTCAGCTCACTGCAACCTCCACCTCCTGGGTTCAAGCGATTCTCCTGCCTCAGCCTCTCGAGTAGCTGGGATTATGAGTGCTGCCACCACGCCTGGCTAATTTTTGTATTTTTAGTAGAGATGGGGTTTCACCACATTGGGCAGGCTGGTCTTGAATGCCTGACCTCAGGTGATCCGCCCGCCTCGGCCTCTCAAAGTGCTGGGATTACAGGCATGAGCTAATGCATCCAGCCTCACTTTCTGTTTTGCTGGTAGAATAGTCATTTTGAGGCCAGGCATGGTGGCTGAGGTCTGTAATCCCAGCACTTTGGGAGGCCAAAACTGGAGGATCTCTTGAGTTCAGGAGTTCAAGACCAGTGTGGGCAACTTAGTGAGACCTTATCTCTACAAAAAATAAGAACAGAAAAGGAAAAGAATGGTCATTTTGGATATAGAGGATGGGTTTTAGGTGAGGCTTAGAGGCAGGAAAGCCAGTTAGGAAAAGATGGATTGCTTTGGTCCAGAGGAGACGGCGAGGATCTGGAGTGGAAAGGTAGGAGTGACATGTGGAGGTTTAGAAAACAGAATCAACAGAGGCATGCATGCTAAACATTCTTCATTCGTGACAGCTTTGAGTCTGCATCAGAAATGCCACTTAGCCGGAATGGTGGAGTGAGGCCTCTGTAATCCAATCCTCCATAAAAGCAGTGAAAACACTGGCAAAAATGGTCAAAATCAACTGTCAGAACGCGAAATTAACCAACGGTTGCGACACTCTGAGGAGCTTTTATCTGTGAACAACTGTGGCACCTCTAACTCAACCTCCTCCCATTCTCTTCTCCCCAGCTCCGTGGTAACCATGGAAACCAGCTGCCTTATAACCATGGTAGCTGGGAAAGCCAGCAGCCTAGCAGCTACTGGAGGGGACACATGAAGGCTGGAGCTCCTCAGCAAGTCCCGGCTGCAGAGCATGTCACTCTCGGACCTGTCCCACTTACTGAGCTTGCCATCGTATGAGCTAGCTCAGTGTGAAAACCCTGTTTCTGAAAGAGAGACTGTCAGTTGAGAATTCTGTGTCCAGTAAAACTGTCCTTTGAAAATAGAGGAATTGGCTGGGTGTGGTGGCTCATGCCTGTAATCCCAGCACTTTGGGAGGCCAAGGTGGGTGGATCATCTGAGGTCGGGAGTTCGAGACCAGTCTGGCCAACATGGTGAAACCCCGTCTCTACTAAAAATACAAAAATTAGCCAGGCGTGTTGGCGAACGCCTGTAATTTAGCTACTCAGGAGGCTGAGTCACGAGAATTGCTTGAACCTGGGAGGCGGAGGTTGCAGTGAGCCAAGATTGTGCCACTGCACTCCAGCCTGGGTGAACAGAGCAAGATCCTGTCTCAAAAAAAAAGAAATTAAGATATTTCCAGGTAAACAATAAACAGAGGACATTTGTTGTTTTAGCCAACCTCCCTTATAATACATACTGAAAGGAATGTCTCAGGCTGGAATGAAAGGACACTAGGTGGTAGGATACGTGAAGAAATAAAAGAACAACGGTGAAGACAGCTACATATGTCAAGTTAAAAGACAATGTAAGTGCACTTTTGTAACTTTTAGTCTCCTGTCTTTTTTTCTTTTCTTTTTTTTTTTTTTTTTGAGACGGAGTCTCCCTCTGTCGCCAAGGCTAGAGTGCGGTGGCGCCGATCTCGGCTCACTGCAGCCCCCACCTCCCGGACTCAGGTGATTCTCCTGCCTTAGCCTTTTGAGTAGCTGGGATTACAGACTCCCGCCACCAGGCCCAGCTAATTTTTGTATTTTTAGTAGAGACAGGGTTTTGCCATGTTGGTCAGGCTGGTCTCGAACTCCTGACCTCAGGTAATCCACCTGCCTTGGCTTCCCAAAGAGCTGAGATTGCAGGCGTGAGCCATTACGCTTGGCCCCTATCTGCCTTAAAAGACAACTGTACAAAGTAATAATTATAAAGCTGTTTTGATAGGCTTATAACATATAAAGGTGTGATTTGACAGTTACAGCACAAAAGAGAAGTGAGGGAAGAGCTTTATAGGAGCAACATTTCTCCGTACCATTAGAATTAGGTTTGTGTTAATCAAAACTGGATTGTTTTAAGTTAAGGTGCTAGTTGGCTGGGCGCGGTGGCTCACACCTCTAATCCCAGCGCTTTGGGAGGCCGAGGTGGGCGGATCACTTGAGGTTGGGAGTTCGAGACCAGCCTGGTCAACATGGCAAAACCCCATCTCTACTAAAAATACAAAAATTAGTTGGGCATGGTGGCGTACTTGGAGACAGGCCAGATGTAGTGGCTCACGCCGCCTGTAATCCCAGCGCTTTTGGGAGACCAAGGTGGGAGGGTTTCTTAAAGCCAGGAGTTCGAGAGCCTGGGCAACAAAAGTGAGACCCCCGTCTCTACAAAAAAAAATTAGCCAGGCCCAGAGATGTGCCCTTATAGTCCCAGTTACTTGGGAGACTGAGACAGGAGGATTGTTTAGCCTGGGAGTTTGAGGTGCAATGAACTATGATCACGCCCCTGCACTTCAGCCTGGGTGACAAAGCAAGACATTGTCTCTTAAAAAAACTTGGAGATAAATGCAAATAAAAACACAGCATTCCAAAAATTATACACTGCAGTGAGAGCAGGGCTGAGGGGGAAGTTTATAACTGTAAATACCTACATTAAAAAAGATCTCAAATCATTAACCTGTGTTTCACCTTAAGACACCAGAAAAAGCACGAACAAAACCTAAAACAAGAAGGAAGAAAATAGCAAAGATGAGAGCAAAGATTGGTTATTTGAAAAGATCATCAAAATTGGCAAACTTAGTGAGACTGACTGAGATAAAAAGAAGACTCAGATTGCTAAAAGCAGGAATGAGAGGGGAGATTATTATTCACCTTACAGAAATAAAAAGGATTATAAGAGAATTCCATGAATAATTGTGTAACAAAATATTAGATAACTTAGTTGAAATGGACAAATTCCTAGAAAGTCGTGACCGAAGCTAACTCAAGAAGAAATAGAAAATCTGAATAGTTGCTCACTTTGGCAACACATATACTAAAATTGGAACAATACAGAGATTAGCATGGCCCTTGTGTGAGAATGACACACAAATTTGTGAAGCATTCCATAAAAGAAAACCTAAATAGACTTATAATAAGTAAATAGATTGAATTAATAATTTAAAAACTTGTCACGGCCGGGTGCAGTGGCTCATGCCTGTAATCCCAGCACTTTGGGAGTCTGAGGCACTCGGATCACTTGAGGTCAGGAGTTCTAGACCAGTCTGGCCAATTTGGTGAAACCCCGTCTCTACAAAAAATATAAAAATTACCCAAGTGTGGTGGTGCACACTGGTAATCCCAGCTACTTGGGAGGCTGAGGCAGGAGAATCTCTTGAACCCAGGAGGTAGAGGTTGCAGTGAGCCAAGATCGCACCATTGCATTCAAACCTGGGCAACGAGCGAAACTCCATCTCAAAGGAAAACCCAAAAACTGAAAAACAAGATCTTGTCACAAGAATAAGCTCTGGGCCAGGTGGCTTCTCTAGAAAAGTCACACTTACTGAGCTTGTCATTATTTGAGTTCTACCAAACACTTAAAGAATTAATACCAGTCCTGGCCGGGTGCAGTGGCTCATGCCTGTAATCCCAGCACTTTGGGAGGCTGAGGTGGGTGATCATTTGAGGTCAGGAGTTCAAGACCAGCCTGGCCAACATCTCTACTAAAAATGCAAAAATTGGATGAGTGTGGTGGCACGCACCTTTAGTCCCAGCCACTTGGGAGGCTGAGGCAGGAGAATCGCTTGAAACCGAGAGGCGGAGGTTGCAGTGAGCCGAGATCATGTCACTGCACTCCAGCCTGGGCGACAGAGAGAGACTCTGTCTCAAGAAAAGAATTAATACCAGTCCTTTACAAACTCTTTGGAAAAGTAGGAGGGCATACTTAACTCATTCTATAAGGCCAGTATTATGCTGATACCAAAACTAGACAAAGACATGACAAGAAAGGAAAATTACAGGCCATTATCATGAATATAGAAACAAGAATCTTCAACCAAATGCTAGCCAGTTGAATCCAGCAACAACGTATAAAAAGGATTATACAGGCCGGGAGTGGTGGCTCACACCTGTAATCCCAGCACTTTCGGAGGCCGAGGCGGGTGGATCACGAAGTCAGGAGATGGAGACCAGCCTGGCCAACATGGTGAAACCCCATCTCTACTAAAAATACAAAAATTAGCTGGGTGTGGTGGCATGTGCCTATAGTCCCAGCTACTCAGGAGGCTGAGGCAGGAGAAGTGCTAGAACCCGGGAGGCGGTGTTGGCAGTGAGCCGAGATCACGCCACTGCACTCCAGCCTGGGTGACAGAGAGAGACTCTGTCTCAAAAAAGAAAAAAAAAAAAACAGGTTTATACACCAGATTCGAGTGAGAATTGTCCCAGGAATGCAAGGTTGGCTTAACATCTGAAAATCAATCCATGTAATACTTCATATTAATACCATAAAGGATGAAAAAATGCCTGGTCATCTCCATAGATGCAAAAAAGAACAGGATTGGAGGATTCACATGCTGATTCCAAAACTTAATACACAAATGATTAAGATAGTATAATACTGGTATAAGGACAGATACGTAGATACTGAGATAATAATATTGAGAGTACAGAAGTAAACCTTTACATTTGTGGTGAATTGATTTTCAGCAGGAGTGCCAAGATAATTCAATGGTGGGGGAAAAGAATAGTCTTAAACAAATGGTGCTGGGATGACTGAATCTCCATGTAAAAGTATGTAAATGGACTCCTACCTTACACTATGCACAAGAAATAACTCCATGGATCATAAACCCAACTGTAAGAGCTAAAACTATGAGACTCCTACCAAAAAAACAGGAGTAAGTTTCTGTGACTTTGGAATATGGTTTTTTTTTTTTTTTTTTGACAGAGTTTCGCTCTGTCACCAGGCTGGAGTGCAGTGGCGTGATCTTGTTTCACTGCAATCTCCACCTCCCAGGTTCAAGAGATTCTTCTGCCTCAGCCTCCTGAGTAGCTGGGGCCACAGGCCTGCACCACCATGCCCAGCTAATTTTTGTGTTTTTTTGTAGAGATAGGGTTTTGCCGTGTTGGCCAAACGCCATTCGCTTGCCTCGGCTTCCCAAAGTGCTGGGATTACAGGTGTGAGCCACTGTGCCCGGTCTGGAATATGATTTCCTAGGTGACAACAAATGTGCAAATGACAAAAAAAAAGTTAATCTGGACTTCATAACGTGTGCTACAAAATACTATTTAGAAGGTGAAATGGCAACCTGAGAATGAGAGAAAATATTTGAAAACCGTGTACCTGATAAAGGGCTCGTTATTTAGAATATATAAAAAACTTCATGAAGACAACTAAATTAAAAAATTGATGAAGTGTTAGGGGCTGCGGGTGTGGTGGCCATACCTGTAATCCCAGCATTTTGGGAGGCTGAGGTAGGTGGATCACCCGAGGTCAGGAGTTCAAGACCAGCCTAGCCAACATGGTGAAACCCCGTCTGTACTAAAATACAAAAATTAACTGGGTGTGGTGGTGTGCACCTGTAATCCCAGCTTCTTGGGAGGCTGAGGCACAAGAATCACTTGAACCTGGGAAGCGGATGTTGCAGTGAGCCGAGGTCATGTCACTGTACTCCAGCCTGGGTGACAGAGTGAGACTGCATCTCAAAAAAAAAAAAAATTGATGAAGTATTAAAATATATATTTCTTCCAAATAGATTTACGAATGTTCAATAAGCATATAAAAGCTATCAGAAAAATGCATATCAAAATCACAATGAGATACTGCATCACACTTACCCAGATGGCTGTAATAAAAAAGATGAGGCCAGGCACTCCCAGCTGTAATTCCAGCACTTTGGGAGGCCGAGGTGGGTGGATCACCTGAGGTCAGGAGTTTGAGACCAGCCTGACCAATATGGTGAAACCCCACCTCTACTAAAAATACAAAAATTAGCTGGGCGTAGTGGCAGGCGCCTGTAATTCCAGCTACTTGGGAGGCTGAGGCAGGAGAATTGCTTGAACCTGGGAGGTGGAGGTTGCAGTGAGCCGAGATCGTGCCACCACACTCCAGCCTGGGTGACAGGGCGAGACTCCGTCTCAAAAAAAAAAAAAGAACGTGTGAGTTTATCCCTGGTGATGGGCACAGTAGCTTCTCGTGGCTGGACCAGTGCTTTGCTCCTTATTTCACACTTCTCATCACAGCTCTTTCATTGATGGCACACCCATTTGAAGAAGAGAAACCGAGGCAGGTTGCGGTTAAGTTGATAGCCCAGGGTCACGTAGCTAGTAAAACATGGAGTGACATTCCAGTCCAGGCCTGATTTCAGAGTTTGCTTGGCTGACTGCTGTGCTAACCACCTTAATAGTAATTTTAGCAATTATAGCTTCCTTCAAAAATTCTTGGGCTTGGTCAATTTTGGGCTTTTGGGTTACTCGGCGGAATCACTTTATTTCTTTGAGACAGAGTCTCACCTTGTTGCCTAGGCTGGAGTACAGCGATGTCTGTCCTGGCTCACTGGAGTGTTGACTTCCTGGGCTCAGGTGATTCCCCCCACCTCAGCCTCCCTAGTAGCTGGGACCACAGGCATGCACCACCACACCTAATTTTTTAAAAAATTATTTATGGAGACCAGGTCTCCCTATGTTGCCTAGGCTGGTCTCGAGCTCCTGGACTCAAAACAGCCCTCCCACTTCAGCCTCCCAAGGTGCTGGGATTATAGGCGTGAGCCACTGCCCAGTCTGAAATCACTTTATATACAGACTAAAACTCTGTAGACCAAGTTTTGCTGCACATTGCAAGGACAGAAGATTTTGGTACTTTGGTATTTTATAATCATCTGTCATAGGCTCCTTTACTATTTTTTGTGGAACTTGGGCTGTTCCCAGAATACTAATCCTCTCTGTTGATTAGTTCAGCCTGTAAACAAGAAATCATTAACCAGCATGCTGTTCCTGAAGAATGACCAGGGACAATAATTGTAAAAATTCAAGAGCTTTTATCCAAGCCTGCCCCTATAGAGTGTGTTCTTTGCTACTTCATGGAATGCAAATTGTAACTTGCTTTTGCCAGTAGCTATGGCATGTCCAGGTTACTCATTAGCCACCAGAGCTCCTAAGTTCACTGCGAGAATTCCCTGATGCAAGTACAGTACCCTTAGTGCTGATGGGCTGGCTGCATTTCAGACAGGAATAGTGCAGGATGACTGTGGCCAGCGTCTCTTTAACAAAGATCAGACTGTGTGTGGGGCTGGGCTTGTTGCTGTGGGTCAGTTACTCTTTAACAAAGATCAGACTCTGTGTGGCTGGGCTTGTTGCTGTGGGTCAGTTACTCTTGCTCATGCTTTACCCTTTCAGAATTCAGCTCCTCCCCGCTTCTCCTCAAGCTAATTTATCTAAAAAGATAAGATTTTTTTGCTAGATCTGTTCCCGGCACGGTGGGGTGGTTGAAGTCCTCCTGTGAGGCCCTCTGCCTTATGGAGATCAGTGCAGTGTCAGTGGCACGAATTGGTGCCTGGCCAGGAGCACGCTCTGCTCCTTTACAGGAGAGCCCCTGACAGGCACTGGAGGGCTCAGATTGTTACCTGCGTCCGTCATGACTGCAGGGGTGCTGCGTTGATCATGCAGCTTCTACTAGAGCGTTTTTGGTAAATTTGGGACATGGTAGTTGACTTGAATGTGTCAGTCTTGCCTGCAGGTCATCATCCGTCATCTCAGCCATGGTCGTGCTGGATTGTCTTTCTTGTTTTTGAGACAGCCTCTCTCTCTGTCACCCAGTCGCCCAGTCTGGAGTGCAGTGGTGTGATCTCGGCTCACTGCAACCTCTGCCTCTCGGGTTCAGGCAATTCTTCCACTTCAGCTTCCCCAGTAGCTGGGATTACAGGCGCACGCCACCATGCCCAGCTAATTTTTGTGTTTTTACTAGAGACAGGATTTCACCATGTTGCCCAGGCTGGTCTCAAACTCCTGACTTCAAGTGATCCACCTGCCTCAGTCTCCCAAAGTGCTGGGATTATAGGCGTGAGCCACTGCGCCTAGCCTGAATGCGTATTTTTATGTGAAATTAGTTTTCCTGAACTGTCAGAGGAGGCATGGTCTGGGTGGCTTTTCTACCGTAAGAGCCCCCCCCCCCCATTGTCTTCACACAGTGGCCTGCCTGGCAGCTGCAGTTGGAAGTCCCTGGCTCCGTCCTGGCTCCGTCTGCCTCCGTCTGCCTCCGTCTGCCTGCTGTCCCTGCACCTCCCCTTTTTCCTGCTTTTGCGTCGTCTCTGCTCAGTAGGGGCGCTGGGCCAGGTCACTCCATCCCTGGTTCTTGCATCATGCTCAGCCCTCTGTGGATACTGGGGCTGCTTAGGCTCTCCTGTCCTCAGGTCTGGCCGAGACGTGACACTACTCTTCTCTCTACCTTCTCTCTTTTTTTTTTTTTTTGAGATGGAGTCTTGCTCTGTTGCCCAGGCTGTAGTGCAATGGCGCGATCTCGGCTCACTGCAACCTCCGCCTCCTGGGTTCAAGCGATTCTTCTGCCTCAACTTCCTGAGTAGCTGGGATTGCAGGCGCCTGCCACCATGCCTGGCTAATTTTTGTATTTTTAGTAGAGACGAGGTTTCACCATGCTGGCCAGGCTGGTCTTGAACTCCTGACCTCAGGTGATCCGCCCGCCTCAGCCTCCCAAAGTGCAGACGTGAGTCACTGTGCCTGGCCTCTCTACCTTCTCTTGCACAGACATGATGCCGTGAGGTTGTACGGCCGTTGGTGGCTTTCCTTTTGAGGGAGCTGGAGCTCAGAGGCACAGCAGAATGAGTCAAAGGCTGCACTTGGATTCCCACCTCACTTGGATTCCCACCTCACGTGCTGGCCCCAAAGTTCACTCTTGTCATCACCTTCCATGCTTCTCCCCCTCCTCAGGGGCTGGCCTGCCCTCGTTTTAAAGTGTGTGTGTATGCGTATATTTGTATTTATGCATGTGTGTGTACATGTGTGTATTTGTGTGTGTGTATGTATTTGTGTTTATGTGTATGTATGTATATGTGTATATATGTTGTATTTGTGTTTATATTTGTGTATATATGTTGTATTTGTGTTTGTGTACGTGTGTATTTCTGTGTATCTGTGTATTTGTATTTATGTGTGTTTGTAAATGTGTGTATATGTATATTTGTGTGTGGCGTGTACATTTGTGTATTTGTGTGTATTTGGTTTATGTGTGCTTGTACGTGTATTTGTGTGTATATATGTGTATTTGTGTTTGTATAAATGTGTATTCATGTGTGTTTGTAAATGTGTGCATGTGTGTATTTGGTGTGTGTGTGTGTGTATTTGTGTGTGTGTGTGTTGAAAATTGGGCAATTAAAAGCAAGCTGTGGATGGGAAGCTGGAACTTGTCTCTGTTTCTGTCCCACAGAGGAGGGGGGTTAACTGCCTGTTTCTCCTGGTGGTTACCTCTATAACTCTACATTATGTGCTGTTTGTTTTAGTTTGTGGTTTCACAACCTTATATAAAATCTGTAGATTCCGTTTAGGAAAGTTGATTTAGCTCATGTAGTAGTATTTCCTCTTTCTCCTGCCCCCAGGTTTTTAGTATTTCTGCTTTAGATCTGAGCTCTGTTGATTCTGGACAACATAAGTTCCCCCTCAGAGTGGTTTCTTTCCCTGGTGTTTGGGTGGGTAAAGTAGAGGGCACAAACCAGGGAGAGAGCGCAAGGTCCCCTGTTGCAGACTTAATAGCACAGATCTGTGTACACCTTTGTGAGAAGCACACATGTACACACACAGTGGCATGCACACATAGGCACACGCACACTGGCACACCGCACCCAGTGCAGAGTGCCTCACCCATGCGCAGTCCCAGCTGTGTGAAGCTGCCTGCAGGCTTTGTGTGGCAGAAGCTCCCAAGACACTGTTTTCGTGACTCTTTCAGCCAAGTCCAAAAAACCTGCCATCCTGGGGGGCATCAGGCTGCCAGCATCCTCCTGTACCTGCTGTCCTGCTTTCTTGTGGAGCCGTCCGCTGGTCAGCCATCATACAGAGAGGAGTGGGGATGCTGAGACGCTGGGCAGCCTGCCCAGGGGTCACTGCTGTGAGCAGCTTTCAGGGCTGGGAAGAGAGACTGACTGGGACAGGAGGTTTGGGTGTGTCTGTGTTTTGTTAAAGGTCCCCTGAGGGCAGAAGCTGTTGTGTTCCCAGCACCTGGGACAGTGCTTGGGTCGGGGAGCCGCCACATAGGCACTTGATTTTCCTGTTCTGACCACCTGTCCATCTGAAGTTTTCTAGGGTAGGACTGGCTCAAAGGAGTGTTTGTTCGGTTCAGGAAACATTCAACCTTATTTATTAGCAAATGTGTAGTAAAAGACAAAAGATATTCTGGAGGAGGGAGCTTGTCCTGTGGGGGAGGCAAGATCAGTTTTGGAAGCAGCAGTGGTGGAGTTCGGCCCTGTGACTGCGTAGGGCAGGGGTGAGCTCTTTGTCCTCTGATCTGTGCACACCAGGCCTGGCGGGGCCGCTTGTGTCGTGTTCTGATGTGGATGGGTTGCTGCAGAGGCCTTTTACTTCAGCTGGAGATCCTTAAACCAAAGACTCACTTGAGAAGGTTTTTTAAATAGTCAGCTTTATTATTGCTTTAAAAAAGTGACTTAGGGCCAGGTGCAGTGGCTCACACCTGTAATCCCAGCACTTTAGGAGGCCAAGGTGAGAGGATTGCTTGAGCTCAGGAGATCGAGACCAGCCCAAATACCGTAGTGAGAACTTGTCTCTATTTTTTCTTTTTTCTTTTTTTTTCTTTCTGGGGATGGAATCTTGCTCTGTCATCTCGCCTCACTGCAGCCTCTGCCTCCTGGGTTCAAGTGATTCGTCTGTCTCAGCCTCCCAAGTAGCTGGGATTACAGGCATGCGCCACCACGCCTGGCTAATTTTTGTATTTTTAGTAGAGACGGGGTTTCGCCACGTTGGCTAGGCTGGTCTCCAACTCCTGACCTCAGGCGACCCACCTGCCTCTGATGAGGCACCACCATGCCTGGCCATATTTTTAATTTTTTAAAAAATAGAATAAAAAGTGACTTAAATGTACACAAAGTTGTTTTTGCACACAACTCACCTTACCCTGTGTGATGAATAATTGTATTTTGACAGTGCTTGTTAAACATGTGTATCCCTATTAAAATCACTTGTACTCTTTAAGCCTCAGTTTTCACAGCTGGTCCAGGTAGAGTTAAACTACACGTGGTCTCATCTCTCTCCCTTGCCTGGCTTGTGACATACATGCAAGTGTTTGTTGAGCGAGGTCCCTTTAGCAATAGATTTAGCGTGTACTGAAAGTTTGATTGTCACACATCTAATGTGCGTTTTCCCTCTTTTGTACAATGGAGAATTCCCACATTTCATGGGTGTGAGCTGAAAAAAAGACTTGAAGCTAACATTCCTCTGCTGTCCCACTACAACACAGAAGACTTCTGTGACCCCAGAATATGTGGGGGTTTCTCCCCATCGGCAAACAAGCTATCAGTTCTGCAGCAGGCACCAGCGGGGTGTCCTCCAGCTTGATTCTGACACCGTCTACCTGGAGGTAGTGTCAGATCCTGCAGGGGAGTCCCAGGGCTACCCCCTACTTCTCATGTTAGCCTCAAGCCTCAGGTTGTGACCTGTGCTTGTGCATGACAGACTGTGAATGGACATCTCACGACCCCCTCTTTGGATTCAATTAGTTTGCTAGAGAGGCTCACAGAACTCAGGGAAACACATTTATTTGATCATAAAAGCTAGTATGAAGGGTGCAGGTGACGTGATGCGTAGGGCATGGTACCGGGCCATGGCCGCTCCATGTCCCTCCAGGGATCCCCATGTGTTCAGTTATCTGGACGTTCCCCAAACCCTGTCCTCCTGGGCCTTTTGTGCAGACTTCATTGGATAGGCATGATTGACAGCTGTGTACAAATGGGACTGGACCAAAAGGGTGTGATCTAAACCCAGCAGGGCCTGTCTGTGCAGATTCTTCCCGGCCTATCTGTGCGGCGTTCCTTCCCCCGGGGTGTGGGGCAGGGCCCCTTCAGAAATGTGGGTCTTGTGACCCACAGTCAGACAAGGTAGGTCAGAGAATTTATGGCCAGCTCCACGACAGAAAGGCTGGGGGTGGTTAGAGTCCCTTGTTAGTCTTATGGCCTGCCTTGGGGAAAAAATAACAAGAGCTGTGAGAGTTTTGAGCCAGGAACTGTAGATGAAAACCAGTATGTATGTATAATATCACAATTGGATATTATGCAAGTGGACTTGTCAGATTTTGTAGGAAAGCCCTCATGTTCCTACCAACAACTGTTTGCCCTGCAGCACAGACCTGCTCCCTGTATCGTAATCCCTCCTAGCTTCATCTGCTTTCCTTACACAGCACATGGTGATTAAATAGGTGTGCGACTGCTTGGTCAGTAACAGTCTTCTGCCAGACTGTGTCTTCCGTGAGGGTAACAGAGACCATGTCTGTTTTTGCTCATCCTTGTGCCTTGGTGCCCAGCACCATGTGTGGACAGTTGTAGGTGCTCAGTGGATATTTACGGAACAAATGCATCAGTCCGTCTTTAAGGTTCCCTCTAGCTGTGGACCGAGTTGCCTCCGTGGCTCCACCCCAGTTCATATGCTGAAGCCCCAACCCCAGTGTGACTGGATTTGGAGACAGGGCTTTCAGGAGGCATTTAAGGTTAAATGAAGTCATAGAGGTGGGGTCCTAATCCTGTAGGATTGGTGGCCTTGTAAGAGGAAGAGAGAGCGTGCTCGCTTCATAAGCATGCGTCAAAGAAAGGCCACGTGAGCACACAGAAGGTGGCTGTCTGCAAGCCAGGAAGAGAGCCCTCACCAGAAACCACCCTGCTGGTGTGTTGCTCACAGGCTTCCAGCCTGCAGGCCTGTGAGAAGATGAAGTGTTTCAGCCGCCCCGTCTGGGGTGTTTTGTCATGGCAGCCGGAGCAGACTAAGGGACCTGTAGCCCTGACATTCCATCATTTTATGACCATGAGGAATTACAGATCCTGGGCATTGCTTTCAAATGAGACACATGAAATTGAAATGTGTCAGTTCAGGTATTTTGATTGCCATTGGGGATGGATAAGCCAAAAAGAAAGACTATTTTAAATGACTAGATTTGACAACAGATAGGTTGTAATGTCTATCAACAGATAGACTGAATAGATCAGTCTTTCCTGCTTTGGACAGAAGCTAGCCTTTGGGGCTGTTGGTGGGAGCACTCCTAATATTATTAATGATATTAGTACCTAACCATATTTGCTGAGGACTTCTCTTGTAGGAGTGCTAATCCCATCATGAGGGCCCACCTCATGACCCCATCTAAACCCAGCCACCTTCCAAAGGTTCCATCTTCAGATACTATGACATTGGGGTTAGGGCTTCAGCATGCGAATTTTGAGGGGACAGAAACATTCAGTCCATACGGCAGGGGAGGCAGGCTGATTTCAACGGGCACATCTGAGCTGAGTCTTGAAGGATGCGTGTTGCAGAGGCTGCATCTGTTTTGCGACTGCAGTTGATCGAGGAAGAAACTGTGGAGGTGAATTTATAAAAGAAAATTGAAAGCCTATAGTAGTAAAACTGTGTGCTTTTGGCAGTGGAAGTTGATTTTAGGAGTAAACCTCCGTGTTATTAGCGGATGACGATTTATCATGGCAAACATCCAGCAAGATATTTGAGTTCTGAGCTTGGTAAAGAGGTAGAGTTAGAAATGGTGCTGTGGAGCACCCCCTGGGTGCGCAGCGGCTGGCCCGGGCGGTTCAGGACTCGCTCCTTTGCTGTCCTGACCCAGGCACTCCCTTTCCCCTAGGCTCAGTCCCGGCCCCGGCCCTGCTGCAGCCCCTTCCTGCCGGCTCTGGGTTGGAGGCAGGTGTCTGCTTCGGCTTTTCTCCTGCCTTGAAACGGGGCCTCATCCCATTCGTGAGTTCTGAGTGTCAGTCTTATCAGGGAAATGGTGTTTCTTTAGAAATCAATTAAAATAAAAATGGCTTTTTGTTCTTTTTTTTAGGTAAAAGTAAAGAAGCAGAAATAAAAAGGATAAACAAGGAACTGGCAAATATCAGATCAAAATTTAAAGGTAAGTATGTTTAACCTTTTCCATGAAATGTCCTGTTGTAAATTTTCTGTAGTAAGAACCCAGTCTTTTAATACTGTCTTCTTTTCTCCCACACTAAAGTGAAGTTCTCAGTTTGTACAGTTTCTATCAGGGCCCTGTCAGAATTAGGAAATGGCATGTGTGGAGCTGGTTAGGTGGGGCAGCCCCTCCTGGTGTCTGGTCTTTTCCTGGAGCTGGAACAGCACTGGTCTAGTGCCCAGCTGCATGTCGCAGTATTAGCCACCAGGCCAGCGTGCTGGGGGTTCAGAGGACAGACACCAAGTACGGGAAGTGCTCTGTGTAAGGCGCCACCGAACGCCTCCTGCTGACGGTCAACAGGGACCTGACCTGCGCTCGGTGGACTGCCTCTCTGTGAGCCAGTGTGTGGGCTGAGTGCCTTCCCTGAACATCCTTACTTTGAAGAATTGTGAAGTACGGATTTAGTTTTCAGCCCTTGGGACATTTTTGAAACCCCAGTTAATCCTTAAAGCCTTAATTTTTCAGTTAATGTTTACAGATTTGCAACCTGGCTCACCTCCCTGAGCATACCTTAGCCACGGTGTAGCTGAAATTGCCCAGGCACAATGAGTCGGGGAGAGGGCTGAGCCTGACCCCTGTGGAACTGGAGGGACAGGCAGAACACAGCTTGGGGACAACTGGAGTTTCATGGGATGGGTGCTTTTGAGGGCTTGAGAATGGATATCCAGTAGTTTCTTTTCTTTTCTTTTTTTTTTTTTGAGATGGAGTCTTGCTCTGTCGCTCAGTGTGGAGTGCAGTGGCACGATCTTGGCTCACCGCAACCTCCGCCTTCCAGGTTCAAGCGGTTCTCCTGCCTCAGCCTCCCGAGTAGCTGGGATTACAGGCGTGTGCCACCACATGCCTGTAATTTTATTTAGTAGAGACGAGATTTCTCCATGTTGGCCAGGCTGGTCTCAAACTCCTGGCCTCAAGTGATCTGCCCGCCTCGGCCTCCCAAAGTGCTGGGATTACAGGCATGAGCCACTGTGCCCGGCCCAGCTGATTTTTGTACTTTTAGTAGAGACGGGGTTTCTCCATGTTGGTCAGGCCGGTCTCGAACTCCCGACCTCAAGTGATCCACCTGCCTCAGCCTCCCAACATGCTGGGATTACAGGCGTGAGCCACTGTGCCTGGCCTGGCTGATTTTTGTACTTCTAGTAGAGATGGGGTTTCTCCATGTTG
Source organism: Homo sapiens (assembly GCF_000001405.40). Taxonomy (NCBI): domain Eukaryota; kingdom Metazoa; phylum Chordata; class Mammalia; order Primates; family Hominidae; genus Homo; species Homo sapiens. The sequence goes on from NT_187656.1 coordinate 23,467, forward strand.
GTCAGGCTGGTCTTGAGCTCCCGACCTCAAGTGATCCACCTGCCTCAGCCTCCCAACATGCTGGGATTACAGGCGTGAGCCACTGCACCCCACACGGCTGGTTTTTGTATTTTTAGTAGAGACGGGGGTTTCTCCATGTTGGTCAGGCTGGTCTCGAACTCCCAACCTCAGGTGATCCACCTGCTTTGGCCTCCCAGAGTGCTGGAATTACAGGCGTGAGCCTCTGCGCCCGGTGTGCACCTTTGTTCTTAACTGTAGAATGGGGAAACCAGTGATCTCAAGTTGGGTTCTCCAGGATGTGGACTCTGAAATGGGCTGTGTACAGAAGATTTATTCAGAGTGACACCAGTGAAAAGTAAAGGGCAGAAGCAGATGGAGATGTGGGTCTGACAGTCACCACCACCAGTGAAAAGTAAAGGGCAGAAGCAGATGGAGATGTGGGTCTGACAGCCGCCGCCACCAGTGAAAAGTAAAGGGCAGAAGCAGATGGAGATGTGGGTCTGACAGTCACCACCACCAGTGAAAAGTAAAGGGCAGAAGCAGATGATGTGGGTCTGACAGTCGCCGCCACCAGTGAAAAGTAAAGGGCAGAAGCAGATGGAGATGTGGGTCTGACAGAGTCGCCACCACCAGTGAAAAGTAAAGGGCAGAAGCAGATGGAGATGTGGGTCTGACAGTCGCCACCACTAGTGAAAAGTAAAGGGCAGAAGCAGATGGAGATGTGGGTCTGACAGAGTCGCCACCACCAGTGAAAAGTAAATGGCAGAAGCAGATGGAGATGTGGGTCTGACAGTCGCCACCACCAGTGAAAAGTAAAGGGCAGAAGCAGATGGAGATGTGGGTCTGACAGAGTTGCCACCAGTGAAAAGTAAAGGGCAGAAGCAGATGGAGATGTGGGTCTGACAGAGTTGCCACCAGTGAAAAGTAAAGGGCGGAAGCAGATGGAGATGTGGGTCTGACAGTCGCCGCCACCAGTGAAAAGTAAAGGGCGGAAGCAGATGGAGATGTGGGTCTGATAGTCGCCGCCACCAGTGAAAAGTAAAGGGCGGAAGCAGATGGAGATGTGGGTCTGACAGAGTCGCCGCCACGAGTGAAAAGTAAAGGGCGGAAGCAGATGGAGATGTGGGTCTGACAGAGTCGCCGCCACCAGTGAAAAGTAAAGGGCGGAAGCAGATGGAGATGTGGGTCTGACAGAGTCGCCGCCACCAGTGAAAAGTAAAGGGCAGAAGCAGATGGAGATGTGGGTCTGACAGTCGCCACCACTAGTGAAAAGTAAAGGGCGGAAGCAGATGGAGATGTGGGTCTGACAGTCGCCGCCACCTGCCCATCAGGGAGCTCGGGAGCCCAGATTGCCGGCTGGAGGTGGTGGCACTGGGTTGAAAGGGCTGCGCCCTGGCACCCTCTTGCTCAGCCGTGGCTCTCAACCTGGGGGAGCCGGACCATGACAAAGCCAGCCTTACTCTTGGTGTCACTGGGCCTTCACTGAATGGGATCTGCGTCTGCTGTGCTCATTGTGAGGAAATGAGGAAATGCATAGAAATTGCTTGAAAGGAAACCAGCACCCAGCCAGTGTGAATCCATTTTGTTATTGTGAAAAGAGTTCATGGCCTTCAGAATGGTGAAGATGAAATTCGAATGGGAGGTTTTTATAGGTTTCAGAAGAATCATCTAATGTGTTGAGGTGTAACTTCAAAGACTTTGCTAGGCTGTTAAATTTACAAACTCTCTGGCCAGGCGTGGTGGCTCACGCCTGTAACCCAGCACTGTGGGAGGCTGAGGCGGGCGGATCGATTGAGGTCGGGAGTTCGAGACCAGCCTGGCCAACATGGTGAAACCCCATCTTTACTAAAAATAGAAAAATTAGCTGGGTGTGGAGGCGCGTGCCTATAGTCCCAGCTACTTGGGAGGCTGAGTCAGGAGAATCGCTTGAACTGGGAAGGCGGAGGTTGCAGTGAGCCGAGATCTCGCCATTGCACTCCAGCCTGGGAGACACAGCAAGACTCTGTCTCAAAAAAAAAAAAATTTTGTTTTATAAATTCTGTATAAATGTTTTGGGACTAAAGGAGACTTCATGCCTGTCTGGCTGTCCTAGATAGGGAAGGTGGCCCCTCCTACACAGTGATCTGTTGGCTTTTGTTGAGCACGCGCGTACCCTGGGTGGTGGCAGCAGACATAGAAGAAAATCTACTCCTTGTCCGTAAGAAATGTGCTGCCTGAGGCCTGCCCTGCCAGCTGTGGGTAGATGAGATGACTTAGAGCTGTGCTGTCCAATTTAGAAATAGAGTATCAGTCACATTCATAGGTCTAAAGGCTCTGGCAGCCTCATTGAAAAAAAGTAAAAAGGAGCAAATGAAATTAATAATATATTTTATTTAGTTCAGTATATCTAAAATTTCGTTGTAATCAATTGAAAAAAAAACTGGCTGGCACGATGGCTCATGCCTGTAATTCCAGCCCTTTGGGAGGCCGAGGTGGCTGGATCAGTTGAGGTCAGGAGTTTGAGACCAGCCTGACCAACATGGTGAAACCCCGTGTCTATTAAAGATACAAGAATTAGCTGGGCATGGTGGCGGGCACCTGTAATCCCAGCTACTCGGGAGGCTGAGGCAGGAGAATCGCTTGAACCTAGGAGGCAGAGGTTGCTGTGAGCCGAGATCGTGCCAGTGCACTACAGCCTGGGCGACAGAGTGAGACTCTGTCTCAGAAAAAAAAACTAAAAAAAAAACAAGGTACCGAGTTATTTTATACCAGGTCTTTGAAGTCTGGTGTGTGTGTCACACTTAAGAGTGAGTCTCACTTTGTACTGGCTGTTTCACTTGCTCACTGACCGCATGTGGCATGAGGCTGCTGTGTGAGCACTGCTGATTTAGAGCAACCCTTCTGTTGAAAACAGTTGATCAATTGATTGATCTATTGATTTACTGAGACAAGATCTTGCTCTGTTGACCAGGCTGCCCAGTGCAATCACAGCTCACCGCAGCCTCAACCCCCCGGGCTCAAGCCATCCTTCCACCTTGGCCTCCCAAGTAACTGGGACCACAGGCGCGCACCACCACGCCTGGCTAACATTTAAAAAAAGTTTTGTAGAGATGGGGTCTTGCCATGTTACCTAGGCTGGTTTCAAACTTATGGGCTCAAGAGATCGGTCTGCCTTGACCTCCCAAAGTGCTGGGATTATAGGCATGAGCCACTGCACCTGGCCCCTAGGAGTGTGGGTCCACTCGTGGGTGGAGGTGGGAGGCTGTTAAACAACCGAAGTGCATAGAGTGGCCCCCACAACAGAGGCGTCAGCCAGGATGTCAGTGGTGCCAGGGCTGAGGAGCCTTGTCTAGAGGGATGATAGTCAAAGACTGGAGACCCCCTTCCACTGTGAACTGAAGGCCTCACCAGAGGGAATACCCGTAGGGCAGAGTGAACTGTCAGTGAGCCAGTCCTCTTCCAGACTTGCCGCTGGGTGTCTTGACATGGGGGTGCTCTACACAACCTCAAAATGTTGGGAAGGTTACAACCAGGGAAAGAATCGATATCCAACAAAAATACCTTTCAACAATGAAGCTACCCTGTTTGAGTGGGGCATCACGAACCATCCTGCTTCAAGGGAGCCTGTGGGTCTGACTGCAGCTTCAGCTCTGACCTGGAGTTCTGGGGCTTCTCTGCGGGGCACCAGTCTGTAGGCTCCATTTTAGATAATAAAAATTGGCATATTCTGGGGTGGGCAGGATCTGGGGTTCACCTGCAGATGAACAGGGCAGAAAAAGCTTGATGGGGTGTTAGGGGAATCTGGTTGGCCTCAAAGGGAATTAATTTGGGGCCCTGTTCCTGAATTGGTAGGCAGCCTGCATGTAAGGCTGAAGTCGGTTTGGCCAGAGCATGGGCTGGAGTGCTACCACCCTGCTACATGGTCAATGCCACAGTCTCACTTTTCCTATTTTTTTTTAATAAAATGTTGTGAACAACAACAACAACAACAACAAAAATGAAGCTAAAAAATACCTGCCGAAGACAGAAATGGAAAGAATTTCCTACCAGAAGGCCTGTGTTAAAGGAAATGCCAAAGGAAATAATCCCAGATGGAAGCGTGGAAATGGAAAGCATGGAACGGGCAGGAAATTAAAGGAAATAATCCCAGATGGAAGCGTGGAGATGGAAAGCATGGAACGGGCGGGAAATTAAAGGAAATAATCCCAGATGGAAGCGTGGAGGTGGAAAGCATGGAACGGGCGGGAAATTAAAGGAAATAATCCCAGATGGAAGCGTGGAGGTGGAAAGCATGGAACGGGCGGGAAATTAAAGGAAATAATCCCAGATGGAAGCGTGGAGGTGGAAAGCATGGAACGGGCGGGAAATTAAAGGAAATAATCCCAGATGGAAGCGTGGAGGTGGAAAGCATGGAACGGGCGGGAAATTAAAGGAAATAATCCCAGATGGAAGCGTGGAGGTGGAAAGCATGGAACGGGCGGGAAATTAAAGGAAATAATCCCAGATGGAAGCGTGGAGGTGGAAAGCATGGAACGGGCGGGAAATTAAAGGAAATAATCCCAGATGGAAGCGTGGAGGTGGAAAGAATGGAATGGGCAGGACAGCGGGAGATGTGTAGGTAACGCCAGTGTGTTGTGTCTCGTGGTTATGTCTGTCTGTGGAGTTTCTTCAGTAGTGCAGTGAACTTCAGAGAGTTGAAACCGTATTTGTTTGCCATCAAGAAGACTGTAGGCCCAAATGGCTTCCCTGTGATCTTTATCCTTTAATGAGGGTTGTTAGGTGTGACCATCTGATGTGTGGCCTAAGGTGTGTGGAGAAAAGTGTTCATGTCAGTCCCAACTTTGGCTTTAAGGGAGTCTCCCCTCTGGGCTCTTCCTACCTCTGCTATGGTAAGGATGTGCTTTGGGTGGTGTGGGCCTGGAGCAGAGCCATGCACAGCAGGCCCGTCCAGATCTGACGGTGTCTTGACGGTGGCCCCGGCTGACCTGCAGACGCATGGGCAAGAAATCAGTGCTTATGTGCACCTGCCATGCTAGTGGGAGCCCAGGGGAGTTACTGGGATGTTCACAGGTGTGCCTTCCATCTTTAAGCCTTTAGAAAACAACTGTTGTGTTCTCATACTCTACAGAGACATGGTAGTTTCTTTCTTTTTTAAAGAGACAGGGTCTTGTTCTGTTGCCCAGGCTGGAGTGCTGTGGCATGATCCTAACTCACTGCAGCCTTGACTTCCTGGGCTCAGGTCATCCTCCTGCTTCCACCTCCCGAGTGGCTAGGGCTACAGGTGTGCACCACCACGCCCAGCAAATTGTAAAACTTGTAGAGATGGGGTCTCGCTGTGTTTCCTAGGCTGATCACAAATTCATGGCCTCAGGTGAACTCACCCACCTCAAGTGAATCCTCCCAAAAGTGCTGGGATTACAGGCGTAAGCCACTGCACCTGACTGGGAATTTCTTATGACTGATCATCTCCAGGAGTTTTCCAGGTTGTGCACATTAATTTGCTAAATAGGCCAGGCGCGGTGGCTCGTGCCTATAATCCTAGCACTTTGGGAGGCCGAGGCAGGCAGATCACTTAAGCTCAGGAGTTCAAGACCATCCTGGGCAACGTGGTGAAACCCTAAAAATCTCTACTAAAAGTACAAAAAATTAGCCGTGTGTGGTTGCACATGCCTGTGGTCCCAGCCACTTGGGAGGCTGAGGTGGGAGGATCACTTGAGCCTAGGAGGTTGAGGCTGCAGTGAGCTGTGGTCATGCCACTGCACTCCAGTCTGGGTGGCAGAGGGAGACCTTGTCTCCAGACAAAACACTTTACTTTTTCTTTCACTTGGGCAGCCTGTTTTTCATTTTACCGTGAGTTTGCTTGATTATTAATTCATTGATGTAAAAGGCAAAGACTGAGCAACTGCCTTGTGCCACACACTGTTGTTGGGGCTGGTGTGCATTGGTGAGGAAGTGGAAGGAGTTCCCACCCTGCCCCCGAGGGTGTGAGCCTCATGCAGGCTGTGTGGGTTGGAGAGTGTAGAGCCAGCAGTGCCTCTGGCTGGTGACCAGATGGCTGGTGGCCAGTCAGGGCACTGTCCCTTTTCCCAACTTTCAGGTCAAGAGAAGGCGTGGAGGCTCTGGTTCCTGACTCACTCTCCAGTTTATCTTATTCTACTTGATATTTTGTTATAAAAAAATACCAGGCCAGGCGTGGTGGCTCACGCCTGTAATCCCAGCACTTTAGGAGGCCGAGGAGGGCAGATCACGAGGTCAGGAGTTTGAGACCAGCCTGGCCAACATGGTGAAACCCCATCTCTACTAAAAATAAAAAAATTGGCTGGGTGTGGTGGCGTGTGCCTGTAATCCCAGCTACTCGGGAGGCAGAGGCACGAGAATCGCTTGAACCTGGGAGGTGGAGGTTGCAGTGAGCCAAGATTGCACCACTGCACTCCAGCCTGGGCAGCAGAGCAAGACTGTCTGGGAAAAACAAAACAAAAATAACCAAGCAGGTTTCAGTCATTATGAGGTAGACATTTTGTCACATTTTATCGTCTGTGAAGTCTGTGTGCATCTGATGAGTCAGTGAAAGATGGTGCTCATGAACCTGTGTTGTGACCTTACGTTGCCTCAGACACCTGATGCTCCGTCCGTGCTGTGCTGTTTCGTTTTATTTTTTTATTTTATTTTATTTTTTTGAGATGGAGTCTCGCTCTGTCACCCAGGCTGGAGTGCAGTGGCGCGATCTCGGCTCACTGCAACCTCTGCCTCCCGGGTTCATGCCATTCTCCTTCCTCAGCCTCCCGAGTAGCTGGGACTACAGGCGCCCGCCACCACGCCCGGCTTATTTTTGTATTTTTAGTAGAGACAGGATTTCACCGTGTTAGTCAGGATGGTCTCTATCTCCTGACCTCATGATCCTCCTGCCTCAGCCTCCCAAAGTGCTGGGATTACAGGCGTGAGCCACCATGCGCGGCCCTGTTTCATTTTTATAGTAACCTGCTGAGAAAGTTGGGCTCAGAGAGGTTAAGGAATACGTCTGAGACCACAAGACAAGCAAGTGGCTGCATCTTTCAGACTGGAGCCCAAACTTAATCGTGATCCTTTTATGGTTTAGGATGAGGTTTTCCAGCCATCTCTCCTCTGATCTGCACAAACCAAGGAGACAGATATTACTGTTATCCTCTGCCTTTTATAGCTCAGAATATTAAAGTTCAACTCAACATTTTGAAATTACTAGAATAAAAAAGTAATTCTAGCCTAGTACTGAAACCAGCATTTTGAAGACTGTATCAGTCTGGGTCCTTTCAGGAGGGATAAACTTCACAGTGGCACCTGCCAGGGGAGCTGGCGGGCTCACCTGCCACCTGCCCCACCGAGATGGGTGAGGGTGTGGAGCGAGCATTGCTGCTTGTTTCCTGTGGCCCTGGGTTAGGCCAGGAATCCACGTGCTGCCACATGAGCAGCGGGCCGAGCACTGTGGCTTTCTCCTCGCGCTGGCGACTTCCGCTGCCCCTCACGGTGCTTATGCAACAGGGGTGGTGTGCCCAGGGGAGTGCTCTGTGACATCTCTGGGAGGCCCAGAGGTGATCCTGCATCACCCTCACTGACCAGTGGGCTCAGCTTCTAAAGGTGGGCCTAAGTTTCCCAGCACCCGGGAGCTCTAGAGCAGCTCTTCGTCTGGGGTCCCGCGGGAGCAGAGGCTGGTCGGCTCCTCTCGGAGAGAGCCTGTCTCCGTCTCCGCCCCTGTTCCCATCCCCGTCTCCATCCCCGTCCCCATCCCTGTCCCACAAAACTCAGCCCAGTCGGGCCGCTGGTCCTCTCCCCTGTCAGTTATTTTTTCCTTTGAGAGGTGCTTTGAGTAACAGGGAAGTCTCCGGAGGGAGGAGGAGGTCAAGCAGTATTTTTGGCTGTGGTTGTCCAAGGCGGCTTCCAGCGGGTGATGGAATCTGGGCTGGGTAGGAGACACGGTGCTGGGGCTTCCCAGTGGAGGATCTCTGCTGCGCAGCCCGTGCTCAGCTGTGTGTGCCCTCCTGCACAAACAGGGCACGGAGAACGTGTCTGCTGGGACCCCTTGGGCACAGCAAGCAGATAAGTGGGTCGGGGCCGGGGGAGGGAGGAACCAGGTCGGGTCTGCTTTTATTTATATCATCTGGTCTTTTAAATTATGTTAATTTGCCGCTGACAAGGAGGGGGGTTTCTCATGAGCTCCTCAGAGTGCAGCATGCAGCTGACTGGCCGACTGGTGATGCACCGTTCCCCAGGAAATGTGGCCGGTCTGTATTCTACACAGTTGAGGTCGTCCGTGGAGGTGTGAGCGCCCCAGCCCTTCACAAGAAGGGGGCCAGAGCGGCTGTCGCAGCTGGGCTGTCTTCCCAGCCTGCGTTCCTTCACGCTGTGGCAGCAGAGTCTCTGTGAGACTCGGCCTGCACAAGGCCACCTTTCTCGCTCGCCTCCACAGCCTGCTGGAGGCTGGCTCTGAGGGACACTCCCTCACCTCTCAGGTGGGATAGAAACTCCTGGCAATGTAGAACAGCCCTTTTTTTTTTTTTTTTTTTTTTTTTTTGAGATGGAGTTTTGCTCTTGTTGCCCAGGCTGGAGTGCAATGGTGTGGTCTTGGCTCACCGCAACCTCCGCCTCCCAGGTTCAAGCAATTCTCTGCCTCAGCCTCCCGAGTAGCTGGGATTACAGGCATGCACCACCACGCCTGGCTAATTTTGTATTTTTACTAGAGATGGTGTTTCTCCATGTTGAGGCTGGTCTCGAACTCCTGACCTCAGGTGATCCACCTGCCTCGGCCTCCCAAAGTTCTGGGATTACAGGCGTGAGCCACCGTGCCGGGCCCAGAATGGCCCTTTTTTTAAGGGTTGGTTTTATATTTTGGAATTTTATATTCTGCCAATTACATGTTTTGAACCTGCCCTGCCATGATCCCTTGTGAGGGGCTCAGACAAACTGCGATGAGGCAGAGAAACAGAAGCCCTAGGGGCCGTCGCGTGTGGGCCTTGTTTTCATGACCAGCTGATTTGCCCTAGAATGGCTATGAAGTGGCAGATAATTTAGACTGTGTTCATATGCCTAAATTAAACTGATTTCAAAGACAAGCTTGATGGTTGAAGGCAGGGTTTGCAAGTTCCATCACAGCAGGGCCCTCTGTGGGATTTTGGCTGGTCGGAGTGAGGCCCTGTGAGGGCCAGCTGGGCTGCACCTGCCCAGGGTTGTCGTGGGAGGGTAGAACTCTTGTTGCCAGATGTTCTGGTGCCTGTTTTTAAAAGGGAAATAAAAAACTTGGACTCTCATGAGTACCATGAGTTTAGAAAGGTTATTCATGCTCAGCAGCGTCTGCACTGCACCTGCCTGGGCCCGGCCACCCCTCTCCTGGAGGCTTGTCCGTGCTGCCTGCTGTACTGCTGCACTGCCCTCTGCTCTCCCCTCTCCCCTGCCTCTGCCCGCCTGGAATAAAACCTCTTCCCCACCTTTTCTGTAGGTGACAAGGCTCTTGATGGCTATAGTAAAAAAAAGTACGTCTGCAAGTTGCTCTTCATCTTTCTCCTTGGTCATGACATTGACTTTGGACACATGGAGGCTGTGAACCTGCTGAGTTCAAACAGATACACGGAAAAGCAGATCGTGAGTATCGCTGCAGGTGGAGACGGCAGAGGATGGCGTGGGCCTGGCAGGACTGAGGCCCGGTGCCCGTGTAGGGCCGCTGCTTCCTTCTCTGCCCACAGCTGACGTGAGCCACGTGGGTCTGCTGCAGATGGAGACGCGTGCCCAGTCCTTGTTAGCACCTGCTGCCAACACCCTGCGGGCCCCCTTCCCGCCCAAGCTGGGTGTTCTTCAGGAAGCCCTGATGCCCTCACAGGGTTCCTCCTCCTGCATGCGGTTTTCCTGATGAGGTGGCCATGCCTTTTCCTCCTTTCTTTGCAACCTCCCTTACGGCGAGTTTCAGGACTGCCCGGTTGGTCTGGAGAGTGCCGCACGCGGCCCAGCGTTTGATGTGGTTGGTGCTCTGTGCCCATGAGGTCGGCCTCCAGAGGAGGGGAGGATGTCTCCCTGACACAGTGCCTTGTTGACGCACTGTCCCAAGTAGACCCGTCCCGTGGTCCCTTGGACAGCTTTGTTTCTGCAGTAGGCGCTGGAGGCACATGGCTGGGTCTTGGTGCGGAGGGTGCTCACCCCACCATCTCCCCAGCCCTTGCCGGGCTGGTGCACAGTGTCCTGTCACTCTACTTTTGAAGTCTTCTTGGGCTCTGCACGTTGAGCTGTGTAGTCTCTTGCAGTCACATTATTTCTATGTTTTCCCTGGTGGTATAAAGTAATATTTTCTTCCATTTGTCAAAAAATTTAACTTAGAGAAATTAAGAGAGACTGTAGATGTCTTGGGGTTTTGATAAGTATTGGTGTTTATTCAAGCATTTGTGGAGTGCCTGTGGTGTGTTGGGGGGATGGGGGATTAGCCTTGAGGACGGAGGCACAGGGACTGGAACTTGGGCCTGCCCTTGTCCTGGGGGAGATGGGTGTCACATGGCTCCACAGACATAGAAGTTGAAAGGATTTGAGAGAGGGAGTGGAGGTGGGTGTGTTGAGCTGAGGCTGGAGGGAGGGGAAGTTAACTGGGGGCTGAGGGTGGGAGGAGCAGGGAGAGCAGAGCAGGTGGTGCCTGGCAGTGGCCTGGGCGTGCGAGCGCAGGGCTGAAAGGGCAGTGGTGTTTGGCAGGGCGGGAGCTCCCTCGTGGCGTCTTCCTGGGAGCCGTGGGAGGCTGGGTACATCTTTAACCGGGGTGCTCAGTGATGGGCCTGGAGAAAACCACTGTTTCCCTCCAGGTGGGGAGGGTGTCACCTTCGAGGATGGCTGGGAAGAAGTGGCAGTGACACAGGACTGGGGTTTGCCCTGGGTCAGTGGGGGTGGAGGGGGGCGGCATGAGGCTGTGACACAGGCAGATTAAAGAGTGGGAGGGAACAGGCAGCCGGGTTTCTGGAAATTGTTGTAGCTAAAATCAGCCTCTCAGTGAAGGTTCCTGCCCATCTTAACTTGAGGATAGTGTGATGTCCGGAACACTCAGACGCGTGGCCCACAGTGAAGTGAGTGGGACCGGGGGGTCCAGTTCCTGTTGGCATCTGGCTCGTGGCACGCTAGTCAGGTGTGCCCCACAGGAACGCTGCGCCATGAGAGCATCGTAGCAGAGGCATCCTCGGTTCCACTGGAACAGACGTTTGCCGAATCCTGAGAGGCGCCGCTCCCACAGCAGTGCCCTGGGTGCGTGGGTGGTGCCTGGGCTGCTTCCGCATCTGTGTGTCACTGATTGTTGGGTGACTCAGGGCCACAGGTGGACTTGGATTGTCATGAGCTTTCTCTTCTCCTGTCTTTTGGAACGCAGGGCTACCTTTTCATCTCTGTGTTGGTGAACTCAAACAGTGAGCTGATCCGCCTGATCAACAACGCCATCAAGAATGACCTGGCCAGCCGCAACCCCACCTTCATGGGCCTGGCCCTGCACTGCATCGCCAGCGTGGGCAGCCGGGAGATGGCCGAGGCCTTCGCCGGGGAGATCCCTAAGGTCCTCGTAGCCGGGTATGTGCCGGGCTCGTGCCGGGCTCCTGCTGAAGATGTGCTGCTTTCATGCCAAATACATCAAATATGGAGCTGCTTAGCCTAGGAAATGTTTTACTCTCCCCATCTTATGGGAGATGAGATGTAGCCTAAGGTGGGATCCAGAATTACAAGTTTAGGCCGGGCACGGTGGCTCACGCCTCTAATCCCAGGACCGTAGGAGGCCAAGGTGGGAGAATCGCTTGAGCCCAGGAGTTCAAGACCAGCCTGGGCAACATAGGGAGATCCCATCTCTACAAACAGTTTTAAAAAATTAGCCAGTTGTGGTGGCGTGCTCCTGTCGTCCCAGCTACTTGGTAGGCTGAGGCAGGAGGATTGCTTGAGCCCAGGAAGTCAAGGCTGCAGTGAGCCGTGTTCATGCCTTGGAGACTCCAGCCTGGGCGACAGAGCGAGACCCTGTCTCCAAAGCAAAAAGAGAATTACAAGTTTAGATTTCAATTAAAGTGCAATCTAATACCACTGAGATTCAAAACACAGATCAAAGAAGAACGCCCACACCCTGCCAGCAAAACCAAGAAGGGGCTTCAGCCCCGCAGGGCACTGGGTAGAACGATGCATCTCTGGGCAGCTCCTCCTCGTGCCCGTTCCCCAGGGCTTCACGCGGAGAAGCCGAGCACCGCGCCGGAGCGCCCTCGGCCATCCGTTCCGTCCCTTGTTAATTTGGAGAGAAGCCTCGAGGGGCTGAGTCACCAGCTCTGGAAGAGCTTAAAGCAACCCTGGGGTGTCTGTGCCACAGGCAGGGCCCCCACCTGTGTGTTCCAGGATACCCTGCGGAGTTGGGAAACTGACCCCTCGCCCACACGGTGCCACCCGGCTGAGCTAGGCCTCAGGCCACGGGAGAGTGGGTGGACATCCACCCAGACCACACAGTGAGGACTGGAGACAAGGTGGTGGGAAGGCATGAGAGAAACAGGCCTAGACCGGCGTCTCAACTGGGCCACATTGGCTTTGTGAGGGTACTGGGCCGTGTCTTGGGGCATTTTTGGTTGTCACAGTGGGTAGAGACCAGGGTGCTGCACCCCACACCACTCAGGATGCTCCACAACAGAGAATGAGGCAGCCTTCTATCAGCTGTGAGGTGAGGACGTCCCACAATAGAGAATGAGGCAGCCTCCTGTCAGCTGTGAGGCAAGGAGGAGCCCGGCTGGCAGAGAGACCGCAGCATAACCACGAGAAGACAGATATTCAGAAGCGCAAGAGCTCAGAGATGGGTGACCCCACAGTAGGATGGACAGGAGCAGAACCACCGAGCCGGGGGAGCAGGCGCAGTGCCTGAAGGCACTGTTGCTCCTCAGGCCATTCAGTCATAGGTGGCAGAGCATGTGGGCGCCCCGAAAACAGGGTGCCCAAGATGGAAGGAAGGCTCGAATGATCACAGGGCGCTGGTGCAGGAGAGGGAGGGTGGGGCTGGGGGTCGAAACCAGCCAGCAGGTCCAGTGGATTCTGCCTCAGGGCCACGGCCTCCTGGCCCTCCCTCTCCTCCTGCCCCCAGGGTTGTTGCTTGCCTGTTTATTACCTGTTTCCACCCTTGGGGTGGAAGCTTCCTGGGCTCTGAGGTTTCTGTCCACTGTGGTGGCCGCTTTACAAACCTAGCATCTTGAACAGTACCAGGTCCCTAGTAGGTGCTTGGTGGATGTCTGCGCGTGAGCGGAATGCAAGACAGGGCCACCCCTGAGGCACGTGCAGATTGATGAAGTGGGGCACTACCTGAACCGAGGACCTGCTGCAGGAGCCAGGGACAGAGGAGGGAGGAGCCAGGGTGAGGAGGGGTCTCCAGGGGCCAGTGCAGTGCATCTGCGGCTGGAAGGGAGCAGGTGGCCAGTGCACAGCATCTGCAGCCAGAAGGGAGCAGGTGGCCCGTGTTCTGGTGCCTGAGTGGTCCCATGAAGGGAGTGGGTGGCCCGTGTTCTGGTGCCTGAGTGGTCCCATGAAGGGAGTGGGTGGCCCGTGTTCTGGTGCCTGAGTGGTCCCATGGGGATGAAGGTCACAGGCAGGGTTCTCCTACCTCAGAGAGCTCAGGTAACATGGTACCCATGGGCCTTCCTTGAAGAAAAGGGCTAGTTGTTGAAATCCAGCTAAGTAGTAGATGACTCAAAGTAATATGCTAAGGCTGGGCACAGTGGCTCACGCATGTAATCCCAGCACTTGGAAGGCCAAGGTGGGCGGGCCTGAGGTCAGGAGTTTGAGACCAGCCCGGCCAACATGGCGAAACCCCGTCTCTACTAAAAATACAAAAATTAGCTGGGTGTGGTGGTGCTCACCTGTAGTCCCAGCTACTCAGAAGGCTTGAGGCAGGAGAATCGCTTGAACCCAGGAGGCGGAGGCTGCAGTAAGTTGGAGATTGCACCACTACACACCAGCCTGGGCAACAGAATAAGACTCTGTCTCAAAAAAAAAAAAAAAAAAAGAAAGCTGGGCATGGTGGCTCATGCCTGTAATCCCAGTACTTTGGGAGGCTGAGACGGGCAGATCATGAGTTCAAGAGCTCGAGACCATCCTGGCCAACATGGTGAAACCCCGTCTCTACTAAAACCAGAAAAATTAGCTGGGCATGGTGGCGCCCTCCTGTAGTCCCAGTTACTCAGGAGGCTGAGGCAGGAGAATCGCTTGAACCCGGGAGGCGGAGGTTGCAGTGAGCCGAGATTGCTCCACTGTACTCCAGCCTGGCGAAAGAGCGAGACTCTGTCTCAAAAACAAAAACAAAAACATGCTCGGGAAGGAGGTGCTGTCATTGGAGGACTGCTGGTGTGTGTGTCACCTAGAAATGGAAGGACAGAGTAGGTGCTGAGGAGGTCAGGTCATTCCTAGGGCCAGAGGTAGGGACGGGAGGCAGCGGCCAAGGCAGAAGAGTGGGGTGGTGTCTCTGCTGGGATGGACGGAGTTGGTGGAAAGAGAACCCGTGGAGGTGCAGAGTAGCCGTGGGGTCCTCGGTCTCCCTCGTGTGAGCCGACATTAGCGAGTAGCTGTAGGGTCCTCGGTATCCCTCGTGTGAGCCGACATCGGAGAGTAGCAGTGGGGTCCTCGGTCTCCCTCGTGTGAGCTGACGTCGGAGAGTAGTGGTGGGGTCCTCGGTCTCCCTCTTACGAGCCGACATTAGTGAGTAGCAGTGGGGTCCTCGGTCTCCCTTGTGTGAGCCGACGTCGGAGAGTAGCGGTGGGGTCCTCGGTCTCCCTCGTGTGAGCCGACATCGGAGAGTAGTGGTGGGGTCCTCGGTCTCCCTCTTACGAGCCGACATTAGTGAGTAGCAGTGGGGTCCTCGGTCTCCCTCGTGTGAGCCGACGTCGGAGAGTAGCGGTGGGGTCCTCGGTCTCCCTCGTGTGAGCCGACGTCGGAGAGTAGCGGTGGGGTCCTCGGTCTCCCTCGTGTGAGCCGACCTCGGAGAGTAGCGGTGGGGTCCTCGGTCTCCCTCGTGTGAGCCGACGTCGGCGAGTAGCTGTGGGATCCTTGGTCTCCCTCGTGTGAGCCGACGTCGGAGAGTGGCGGTGGGGTCCTCTGTCTCCCTTGTGTGAGCAGATGCTGGAAAGTAATGGTGGGGTCCTCGGTCTCCCTCGTGTGAGCTGACACCGGAGAGTAGTGGTGGGGCCCCCGTCCCCTTGGTGTGAGCTGATGATTTAGACTGTGTTCTTCTGCCTAAAAGAGGAGGCGGATCCTCCTCCTCTCTGAGGAGTGTGGCATGCTGGGCGCCCTCGTGTGTCGGCATTTGTAGCCACAAGCATGGAACCTGGTTGGCTCTTCTATGTTGAAGGACTGCTGGGGGCCCAGTCATGGGGTCCTGAAGCCGCCTGGCAAGGACAGCCCTGCTGGCGCCTGGAACACACCCCTGACGTGGCCTCGACCACACATCCACATGGACGCATGGCAGGGTGTGTGTGCGGTTGCTGCTCTGGGCTGATCTGGTGAGGATGGGGTGGGCCGGAAGAGGGACACAATACCTACTCCTCCTTGCAGGGGCGTTGGCACCCAGAAGGGGAATTTTTTATTCAAAGTAATTTTTTGGAATAGTATAGGGGGAGATTTAGGAATAAAAAAGCCAAAAGGTAAATGGTACAGGTAGTCCCTATACCCTTTTCTGCCTTCCATGTGGGGCAGCAGATTCCAGCTGATTCTGTTAAGCGCTTGGAGAAGAGACTGGCCCTTTTTCAGCTGTGCCTCCACAGCGTCCACCCCAGGGTCCCTGTTGCCTTCCCAGCTGCTTAGCAGAATCTGGTGGCAGGAGGGCGAAGGGGGATAAGCGGAGCATGGAACACGTCTGTGCCCTGGACAAGCATGTTGGCAGCAGAGCAGGAGAGCCATGGCCGGCTCCCTTCCCACCGTGTCTGTAGGGACCCGAAGCCCTTTGCTCCAGGGGCAAGGGCATGTGTGGCCCAGCCCACTGTTCAGGGTGGGGCGTGGTGGGGTGAGGGTGGGCGTGGGGCAGGGGAAGATCATCAAGCAGAT
The DNA here is from genome assembly GCF_000001405.40 of Homo sapiens. Taxonomy (NCBI): domain Eukaryota; kingdom Metazoa; phylum Chordata; class Mammalia; order Primates; family Hominidae; genus Homo; species Homo sapiens. Next base: position 39,475 of record NT_187656.1, read on the forward strand.
GTGGAGCTCCATGGCGGTGCAGGGCCCTCCAAGCATTTCTGTTGTGATTGTGGATTATTAAGTTGTAACAACAACAACAAGAAAGCTATTGTTCAAACAACAAATGAGCAATGTGAGCTGCATGTGGTCGGCTGGTGGTTTTGGTGGTGAGAAGGTTGGCAGGGAGACCTTTGGAGCAGGGCCCATGTATGCTGAGAACACTGCTGCTGCCCCCTAGGCGGCCTCGGCAGGCGGCCCTGAGTGCTGTCTTGGCCCCTGCGCCAGCCCCACCCCCGCGTCTCCTGCTGGCTCTGGGGGGGTGCTCCGTGCAGCTCTGCGCTGTCTTCAGCCTGTTGCGAGTGACTCTTGACGTCTGTCTTTCAGAGACACTATGGACAGCGTGAAGCAGAGCGCGGCCCTGTGCTTGCTGCGCCTGTACAGGACGTCCCCCGATCTTGTCCCCATGGGCGACTGGACATCCCGAGTGGTGCACCTGCTCAATGACCAGCACTTGGTAAGCACCCTTGGCTTTGGTTCTCCCCGCTCCCCCAGGTGACCTTTGGGATGGCCGTTGTGAAGACACCATGGTGCGCCTTCTCGGGATGCCCAGGAGAGGCTGTCACAGGGGCTGCTGTGGCTGCGTGCTGAGGCCACGGGGGCCCTTCCTGGGGCTGGATGAGTAAGACTCCGCCTCTGCTCATCCTGTGGCCAGGCATTGGCTGAAGCCCTCGGGTAGCACAGAGGCTCTGCAGACACCCCCAGCTGAGACACGTGTCTCCTGGAAACACCTATCTAGTATGCGGAGCTCCTGCCTGGTGTCCCGGCTGCCTGTGCCCTCATCTAGGCTCTAACGTGCAGTCTTACTAATCCTCGTGCCTACTCCACGGGCCAGGCCCCCATGGTATAGGCATACACCAAGGGTGGAGGTTTCCAGCGATTTGGTGATGTGTGTTCAGGTGCTGTGAGAGGCACGTGTGGGGGAGGGGCTGTGCTAGTGTGTGAGCCTCAGGGGCTTGAGGGTCACAGAGCCGTCCACCGCATCCAGCAGGGGTGGATGTGGGCAGAATGTGCTTGTCCTGCCTGAACTCTGCTCTATGAATGAGAGGGTGAGAGTTGGCAGGAGTGGAAGTATTTCCTGCTGCGTGGAGAGGCATGTGGGCCGGTCACGCGTTCACAAGGATCCAGGATAGAGGGCCGAGAATGCCACTTTCCCATGTTGCCGTGAGCCCCATCCTGGCGGGGGAGCCTTTCAGACGGTGCTGCTGGAGGCTGTCGTCCACCATCCCGTGGACCGTGGGAGGTCATGGGATTTTCCCGCTTTGCAGTCAAGGAGGCCGAAGCTGGGAAAGAGGAAATGCCCTCTGACAGCCCCAGGCCTGTACCCAGAGTTGGCGTGTTGGGGTCTTGGGCGTCAGAGAGTGTGCGGGTGAAGCAGCTATGTGGGAGCTGTGAGTCGGCAGGGCCTGGTCAGGGAGGCAGGCCCCGGGCTCCTGCTGCACATGGCAGCCGGTCACTGGGCTGCTGAGGGACCGGGGCTGCCTGCTTTCCCCTGGGCCTTCTGCAGACAGGATCTGTGCACGCTCTGTGGGACTGGCCGGGACTGCTGTCATTGCTCCTGCCTTGGCAGGAAGTTTCCATGGCCATGCAGCCGCAGGGTCACCCTGAGTGCTTTTCAGGGTGGCAGGGCCTTGCCTCAGATGGCCACAAGGGCACCTCTCCTTGGATACTTTATGATTCTGTGACGCCAGCTACTTGGTTTGCTTTTTGTATTTTTATGCATCTGGCTTTATTTCACCAGGCACTTGAGTCAGCATATTCTTGGTTATAGGCAACGGAAACTCATCCTGAAGGGACGCCACAGCCAACCCCAGGGTGGGCTCCCTGCTGCCCAGTACTTTCCCTCCTTAGCTCTCCCAGCTTGCGCACCTGCACCCCTGGCAGCTGTCTTTTGTGTGGCCATGGCTTTTGTCAAATGCCTTCCACCTCTGACAGCGAAGGCCTGAGGCTTGGCTTCTCTGGTCTCAAGTCAGGAGCCCCCAAGAAAGGTGTCATTTGCTCACCTAGAGTGAGTGAGCTCCCCCATGTGTCCTTCAGGGAGGTCTTGTGGAGTGGGACAGGAAGCGTGGGCGGGACCAGGTGGGTGAGGGTCAGAAGGTCGGCGGTCAGGCCTGCGCCCGGAGTTGGGTGGTGGGGAGGGAGGTGATTTGGCCCGAGTGCTGCATGGGCACCGTGCCGAGCCTTGGGTCTGTAGCCTGAGGGTGGCCTGATGGAGCAGACAGGTTGGAGTGGACAAGGACAGGAGACACCATGGGGAGAAGGGTTGGGGGGCTGGGCCAAGGGCTGGAGGCCACTGAGGAGACACGGAGGTCGCTTTGGCACCAGCTGCCACCACAGGGGTGGGGCCACGTGTCGCGGGCCTGAGTGTGCCCCTCGAGAGGCCTCTTACAGTCTCAGTGCAGGGGGAGGACGTCCTAAATGAGAGGCTGAGCTCCGCGCCTGTCAGCCTGTTGCAGGGGGCATTCTAGATGCGTGTTTCCTGGGGGAACACACCGTGAACATTCAGGAGCCCCGTGGGGAATGACTCTGCCCTCATGGAAGTTACAGACCTGCAGTTTCTTACAAGTTCTTTATTGGACATGGCAAAATCCGTTAGCACTTTGCTCACCGAGAAATACAGGAAGAAGACCAATCAGACCAATTTCTTTCTTACAGCTTTCACATTTTCCTTGGAAAGCTGAGGGCACAGGCACAGCAGGTCTCTGGGGAGAGTGCCGTGCTATAGTAGGTGCACCCCAGCCTGGCTGAGGAGCCGTGGCACAGGGCGAGTGGTGGGGGGATTGCATCAGTCATTCAAGTAGACATTTCCTTTCAGACAGAGGCTTGCTCTGTCACCCAGGCTGGAGTGCAGTGGCGCGATCTCAGCTCACTGCAACCTCTGCCTCCTGGGTTCAGGCGATTGTCCTGCCTCAGCTTCCCGAGTAGCTGGGATTACAGGCGAGGCGAGTGCCACCACGCCTGGATAATATTTGTATTTTTAGTAGAGATGGGGTTTCACCGTGTTGGCCAGGCTGGTCTTGAGCTCCTGACCTCAGGGGATCCGCCTGCTTCGGCCTCCCAAAGTGCTGGGATTACAGCATAAGCCACCGTGCCCACGCAAGTAGACACTTCCTGAGCTCACTGTTTACATCTTCAGAGTGAATAGGTATCATTTATTTTATATTTTTTAAAAAAATTTATGGGAGAATGTCTTTATATAATTAAAGTCTTTTTTCAAGAGGTCTGAGTGACTGATTCCCTAGTGGCTGTCCTGGAGCGGTGACAGGCTGCCCGGTGCCGTGTCCTGGAGCGGTGACAGGCTGCCCGGTGCCGTGTCCTGGAGCGGTGACAGGCTGCCCGGTGCCGTGTCCTGGAGCGGTGACAGGCTGCCCGGTGCCGTGTCCTGGAGCGGTGACAGGCTGCCCGGTGCCGTGTCCTGGAGCGGTGACAGGCTGCCCGGTGCCGTGTCCTGGAGCGGTGACAGGCTGCCCGGTGCCGTGTCCTGGAGCGGTGACAGGCTGCCCGGTGCCGTGTCCTGGAGCGGTGACAGGCTGCCCGGTGCCGTGTCCTGGAGCGGTGACAGGCTGCCCGGTGCCGTGTCCTGGAGCGGTGACAGGCTGCCCGGTGCCGTGTCCTGGAGCGGTGACAGGGTGCCCGGTGCCGTGTCCTGGAGCGGTGACAGGCTGCCCGGTGCCGTGTCCTGGAGCGGTGACAGGGTGCCCGGTGCCGTGTCCTGGAGCGGTGACAGGGTGCCCGGTGCCGTGTCCTGGAGCGGTGACAGGCTGCCCGGTGCCGTGTCCTGGAGCGGTGACAGGCTGCCCGGTGCTTTGGGGAGGACTGCTTGTGCCCTGGGATCTGAATCTGTTCTCACTGAGGGCCAGGAGGAGCGGGGAGGGAGGACTCGCGTGCTGGGCCTAGTGGCCTCATCCAGCCTATGGTGGTTGAGTGACTGCCAGGGCCACTTTCCAAAAAGGAGAATGGAAAAGGACTTCTCCAGTTGCTCTTTTCTATAGTCTCACTTCTGGGTTGTAAAGATTCAGATCAGTGTAAAGGTAGCGTCTCCCTCTACAGTGAACATGCGTTATTAAACCAGAGGCAGCAAGTGCAGATGACGGTGGAGGCCAGGCCAGGAGAGGGCAGCAGGCAAGGTGGCGTGTGCAGCCCACATGCTTGACCTGCATGGCTGGACGTGGCCCTCTGGCTCTTCGATGCTGGCAGGGATCTGGGCTAAGCATGACGGAACTTCCCAGTTTTTAAGGAGAAGCTGGAAAAAGAAAATCTGCATGTGCCATCTGGGAGAACATTGTAGGTTTCTCGGAGTAGGCCTGAGGCCGAGGTGGCTGTGGGCTGCCACTGTGCTGCTGGTTGGTTTAAGGTTTTCTTTGGAAGATGAGTGAACACAAGTGGTTAGCTTCAAGTGTTCTGACTCTTGTGTGTGTGTTTTCTTTCAGGGTGTGGTAACTGCAGCCACAAGTCTGATCACCACTTTAGCACAGAAGAACCCAGAAGAGTTTAAAACCTCCGTGTCTCTGGCTGTCTCTAGGCTAAGCAGAGTAAGTCTGTTCGTGGGGGAGCAGAAGTCAGGGTGGGTTTTGTCTTAGTTATTTATTTATTAGCTTATTTGTAGAATGCAAGGTATTTGATCAGTTTATAAATTCAGGGATGAAAACCAACTTGGCTTCTCTGTCAGCCTTCTTGTTGAGAACTGTCCTGTCTGTACAGAAGCACAGCTCCCTGTTCCCATGGTGTGAGTGAGCACCCAACACCATGTGGGTGGAGGAGGGGCACCCAGTGGCCCCGTGTCCCCCACTGGGGAAGCGTGGCTGGTGCTTCGTGGACCCACCATCTGGCGTGCACGCTAAAGCCTGCCATTCAGCTTCCTGTTCTGAGTTTGATGCAGATGGACCTGCAGCACACATTCTTTTGTTTTGCTCAACATGGTAAAATTTTTGTTTTGTGTGCAGCTGTTATACATTCATGTTTGATGCTTCATAGAATTGGTTGTGTGAATTGTCCGCTGCAGTTTACCTGCTGTCCTGTTGAACACTTAGCTCCTTGCCCTCTGAGGCTGCTGTGAATCCTCCAGCATGAGCAGTCTTGGATGTCCCTTGGTTTCCATGTGCACGAGATGGCTCAGCTGGGGCCGCGGCTCCTGAACCTGAGGAGACTGGCGTTGCCAGACCAGCTTCCCCTGCCGTGCACACGGCTCTCACAGCGGCAGCAGGAGGCGCGGGCGCGGCACGCGTAGTGCTAGTCTCTTGGGTTTTAGTCATCTGGGTGTATAGTGGGAGCTCTGTGATTTATTTTTTATTTTTTTCTTTTGAGACAGAGTCTCACTTTGTCGCCCAGGCTAGAGTGCAGTGGTGCAGTCTCAGCTCACTGCCACCTCTGTCTCCTGGATTCAAGGGATTCTCCTGCCTCAGCCTCCAGAGTAGCTGGGATTACAGGCACCCACCACCAAGCCTGGCTAATTTTTGTATTTTTAGCAGAGATGAGGTTTCACCATGTTGGCCAGGCTGGTCTTGAACTCCTGACCTCAAGCAATCTTCCTGCTTTGGCCTCCCAAACTGCTGGAATTATAGGCGTGAGCCACCGCACCCGGCCTCTTTGAGATTTAAATCTACATTTTCCAGATTATCAATGAGGTTGAGCAACTTTGCATGTTGATTGGCTGTTTGGGTGTCTTGTTTTGTGAAGTGCCTGAGTCTTTTACCCATTTTTACCCTGGGTTGTCCGTTTTTTGTGTTGAATATTTCACCATTAAGTATGATGTCTGCTTTAGAATTTTGTTGTTGTCGTTGGTACTCTTCACATTAAAGAAGTTCCTTTCTCTATCTAGTTTGTCAAACAGTTTTTATCATTAACTGGTAAAAACATTTGAACTTGCAGTTTTCTTTGTGGGAAACTTTTTTTTTTTTTTTGAGATAGGGTCTCGCTCTTGGTGCCCAGGTTGGAGTGCAGTGGTACGATCTCGGCTCACCATAATCTCTGCCTCCCAGGTTCAAGCGGTTCTCCTGCCTCAGCCTCCCGAGTAGCTGGGATTAACAGGCGCCCGCCAGCACGCCTGGCTAATTTTGTATTTTTAGTAGAGATGGGGTTTTTCCATGTTGGTCAGGCTGGTCTCGAACTCCTGACCTCAGGTGATCTGCCCACCTTGGCCTCCCAAAGTGCTGGGATTACAGGTGTGAGCCCCTGCGCCTGGCTGTGAAACTTTCTAATTATGAATTCAATTTATTTTATAAGTTGTGGAACTGTGCATATTTTCTTTTTCTTTTTTTTTTTTTTTTTTTTTGAGTCGGAGTCGCACTCTGTTGCCCAGGTTGGAGTGCAATGGCACGATCTCGGTTTACCACAACCTCTGCTTGTGTTCAAGCGATTCTCCTACCTCAGCCTCCCGAGTAGCTGGGACTACAGGCCGTCGCCACCACGCCCAGTTAATTTTTGTATATTTTTGATGGAGATGGGGTTTCACCACAATGGCCAGGCTGGTTGCGAACTCCCGACCTCAAGTGATTGATTGCACCTGCCTTGGCCTCCCACAGTGCTGGCATTATAGGCATGAGACACCGCACCTGGACTCCTTTCCTCTACTTTCTTTGGGTTAATTTGCTAGTCTCTTTTTATTATTTATTTATTTATTTATTTATTTATTTTGAGATGGAGTCTCACTCTGTCGCCCAGGCTGGAGTGCAGTGGCACGATCTTGGCTCACTACAAGCTCCGCCTCCTGGGTTCACGCCATTCTCCTGCCTCAGCCTCTCGAGTAGCTGGGACTACAGGCGCCCGCCACCATGCCTGGCTAATTTTTTGTATTTTTTAGTAGAGATGGGGTTTCACTGTGTTAGCCAGGATGGTCTCGATCTCCTGACCTTGTGATCCGCCCGCCTTGGCCTCTCAAAGTGCTGGGATTACAGGCGGGAGCCACCGCACCTGGCCTAGTCTCTTTTTAAACGCTTGAGATGAATTTTTGTTGCTTTTCTCTTTATATTTGTTTCAAATATATACAGTTAAGGCTGTACATTTCTCTCTGAGCCCGGCCTTAGGTGCGTACTTGTTTGAGAGACAGCTCATGTTGGCCGTGTCTGTGTGTCACGGAAGTGCTGTGATTCTTGCCTTTTCCTGCTTTGTGTTTGTGCCTTTCAGCCTTGTCTTTGACAGCCTAGAGCTTGCCTCCTTGCAGCAGGAGTCCGTGACCCAAGTCTGGGCTGGCATCTTGCAGTTTAGGGTAGGAGTCAGGGTGAACTTTTCTGAATGGGTTCACTTACGGCCTAAAAGTGTCACATGTGAGCTTTGTAGGAAGGGAGGAACTACCCTGACCTCCGGGAAACAGGAGACATCGGGCTGTATGTCAGTGGAAATGCGAGGTAGTCGTGATTGTCACTTGTTCAGGAGGTTGACGGAGGATCTGCCAAGCCAAAGGCCGCATTGGACACAGAGATGGGATGTGAGTGAGGTGGGCAGTCTCCCTGCCTCCGTGAGCTCACCATCTGGGTTGGCCTGTGGTCGGGGGGCCCTGTGGGGTTGTGGGGTAGGGTCAGAATGCCGGCTTCTGGGGGTGGGGGTGCTTCTTCCTTCTGAGGAGGCTAAAGCTCTCTCTCTGATTTCATTCACGTGCCGGTCCACAAAGGAAAGACTGTAGTTTCAAATCCAGGTGCTATGGTGTCTTGTACCGAGCGAGGGCTGCCACTCAGCTGCGGCAGCGTGTTGCCGAGTGACAGTGCAGCCCTCTCACGGCGAACCCAGGGGGTACCAAGCAGTGTCAGACACTCTTGGCACATGAAACAAAACCATTTTTCCAGCTCAGGCGTGACCCGAGGAGTGAGTATGGCTTTTCTTTGGGTCCCCGCAGTAGGGGCTCGTGTCCGGCAGCGTGTCTCATTGCCTGTGCTGTCTTACAGATCGTGACGTCTGCATCCACAGATCTCCAGGATTACACTTACTATTTTGTCCCGGCTCCCTGGCTGTCTGTCAAACTGCTGAGACTGCTGCAGTGCTACCCACCCCCAGGTAACGCGCAGGCCGCGGCTCCTGAAGCTGCACCAGTGCCAGTCTGATTCCCTGTCTCAGATTTAAGTGGTTTGTTTGTTATTTTAAGAAGTGTGTTACTAGCCCTGTCTCTTGATTCATGGACCTTTCTGCCAGTGCTGCTGTATGCGCTGGCTTTCGTGGAGCAGTTATTGCAGAGCCTACAGTTTTGTTAGTGTTTGGGTCTATTTGTGCTTTTATAGTATCAGATTTGTGCAGGTTTTCTTTTTGAGATGGAGTCTCCCTTTGTTGCCCAGGCTGGAGTGCAGTGACGCGACCTCAGCTCACTGCAACCTCTGCCTCCCGGGTTCAAGCGATTCTCCCACCTCATCTTCCTGAGTAGCTGGGATTACAGGCACCTGCCATCATACCCGGCTAACTTTTGCGTTTTTGTAGAGACGGGGTTTCACCATGTTGGCCAGTCTGTTCTTGAACTCCTGACCTCAGGTGACTGGCCTGCCTCGGCCTCCCAAAGTGCTGGGATTACAGAAGTGAGCCACCGTGCCCGGCCTGTCTCAGTTTTGTAAATGCTTCCAGCTGGGTACACAAATGTGAATGAACTATATTAAAAATGCTCTCATGATGTATGGGTGCAGCCGGGAGGGGCAGGGTGGGCTGCGGGCCACTGGAGACTGGTGAGCACCGTTCTGTCTTGCCCAGAAGACCCTGCAGTGCGAGGCCGCCTGACTGAGTGCCTGGAGACCATCCTGAACAAAGCCCAAGAACCGCCCAAGTCGAAGAAGGTCCAGCACTCCAACGCGAAGAATGCCGTGCTCTTCGAGGCCATCAGCTTAATCATTCACCATGACAGGTGTGTCGGCTGCCTGTGGAGAGGCTTCGTCTCGCGCACACACACACGTTCCTTCTCGTTGGCACGAGACTGGGCGGATCATGTCTGGTTTGTCCACTCCATGGGCCTCCCCTTCGTCCTGCCTCTGTGCTCCCTGCCGGATGCTTTTTTTCTTTCTGTGCAGCCCGGCCCCTCCTGCTCTGAGCTCACCGTGGATTGCTTTGGTGACTGTGGTCTCATCCCACACGAGGGCCTTTTCCTCCTTCCCCTGAGCATCCCCACTCCTGACTGGCTTCTCATGTAGTGGAACAGAGAGGAGACGGGTGGGGTGGGGGGTGTGCGCGCATGTCCCGTGGCTTTGCTGGATGTGGAGCCGCACTTGGTGGGTCCAGGGTCGCAGGGCAGTGCTGGAAACGTCTGTGCCCATCCACGAAGCGCAGAGGCGCAGGGTGGCGGTCGCTCCACACAGCCTGGAGGGTCTGCCTCCTCTGCTCCCACGCCTTCTCTGCTCAGCAGTTGCGGCGCACCACATGTGGTCTGGCGTGGGTCTTGCGTGTGGGGCCATGCTTTAGGGTCCTGTGAGAATGAGATCGCAGTTCTCACCAGGCTCCCAATAATGAGGGCACGTGCCAGGCTGTGGGCAGACGCTCTCTACAGCTTGTGAACACCACCCATTTGCTACTACAGCATTTTTACAAATGATGAAAACTCAGTCTGAGAGTCACACTTCAGAACTGAGAGTTATTAAAACTGAAATTTCCCATTTTGGAGAAAGCTCTGTTGTTATGTGAGGAGAAGCCACATCCTGAGGAGACAGTAGAGTCAGTGGGGCAGCAGCCGCGCTCCCGGCCTTCTCGGCCTTCTCCCTGCCCTGGGCTGGTGCCTCTGGCTGAGACCCCATTGCCGGTCACAGCTTGACCGGCCTCCCGCGGGCCTGATGCAGATTGAGGCTCAGGAGGTGCTGGGAAGGCTCCAGTGGACACACGGGCTGCTGACTCACTGTGGGGATGCACAGGATGGACACAAAATGGATGTCAGGGGTGGGGGTCGGGCGTCATCTGCATCTGGGGAGGCCCCCGAGTTCCCACTTGAGCAGTGTGGTGGCGGTGAGTGCCGTGTGACTTTGCTGTCTGCCATCTGGACCCGTCGGGGAACGCAGACTCTGTCCAGTTTGTGTTGCACTTGCTGAGGAAACCCCACCCACTTCCCCTCCCTCCACACAGTGAGCCGAACCTGCTCGTCCGTGCCTGCAACCAGTTGGGCCAGTTTCTGCAGCACCGCGAGACCAACCTGCGCTACCTGGCCCTGGAGAGCATGTGCACGCTGGCCAGCTCTGAGTTCTCCCATGAGGCTGTCAAGACGCACATCGAGACGGTCATCAACGCCCTGAAGGCGAGTGCCCTGTCCTTGGGTTCTGCTCACTCCCTGAGCAGGTGCCGTGGGTCTTCCTGTGAAGGCTGGGGGTACGCAGTGCCTCCTGACTCCCCGCAGAGATGGAGGTGGTGCTGGTGCTGCTGGCCTCCGCCTGTCACCTACTCTTGGGAGGTCACACCACTGTTGAGGGCCATGCTGCCTGGAGATGGCCGGGTTGGCCCTGCTGTCCTGGTTAGGCTGAGCAGAGGAGTCTCTGGCAGCCCTTTCCCTGCTGGGGGCAGCCCCCGTGTGCCATCCTGCGCGTGCATAGTGCTGACAAGTAGAAATGGTTCTTCTTGGTAGAAAGATGAAATTTTTTTCCCTTATCTCCAAGAAAATCCCCCTTTTACAAAGGAAACTCACTTTGTTCGGGGATTAAAATTTCAGAGTTGGGGCCGGGCGCGGTGGCTGACGCCTGTAATCCCAGCACTTTGGGAGGCCGAGGCGGGTGGATCACAAGGTCAGGAGATCGAGACCATCCCGGCTAACACGGTGAAACCCCGTCTTTACTAAAAATGCAAAAAAAAATTAGCCGGGCGTGGTGGCGGCCGGTGCCTGTAGTCCCAGCTACTCAGGAGGCTCAGGCAGAAGAATGGCTTGAACCCAAGAGGCGGAGCTTGCAGTGAGCCGAGATCGCGCCACTGCACTCCAGCGTGGGCGACAGAGCGAGACTCCGTCTCAAAAAAAAAAAAAAATTTCAGAGTTGGAAGAGCCCAGTTGAGGTTGGCCATTGCCAGCCTTTGCGAGTCTCCAGAGCGACCCCGAGGGTTCGTTCCACATAGGGGACCCTGCGGTGTGTCCACCAAGTCCCTAGTCACCGGTGCACATGCGTTAGGGAGTGGGAGGCGGGGAGCTGCATGTCCCCCATCTGGCTCAGCCTCAGGCTGTGGCAGGGCTGCTCCCAGTCCCCCGCACGTCTGCGTGCAGCTCACAGATATTCCGGGTGGTGTGCAAGGGGCTCGTGGTGGGCATTTGGTATTCTGGATTCTTCTTGGTCCTGGTTTTGGTGTTTGTTTTAGTCAATCCCTATTGTCAGAAGGGCTGGACACTCATTTGCACACGGCCAGTGCTAGCGCTGGTGGTGCCCACTCTCCTGCCTTTGTTGGGAGCAGAGCTCGGGCTTTCTCGTGCTGCAGAGCCTCCTGGGGGCCCATCAGCACGGGCTCTGGGGTGGGGCGTGAGGACCTGCCTTGGGGCAGCTCCGTGTCCGAGGCAGTGGGGTCTTTGGCTGCATGGAAGGGAGTCCTTGATGGCCTGCACCAGGCAGTGCGCTCAGTCCTAGCGAAGCTGGCCCTTGTGGAGGGCAAGGGAGGCATGGACGAGCGGGCAGAATCCAGGCAGTGCGCTGGGTCCTAGCGAAGCTGGCCTGTGCGGGAGGGCCGGGCCAGCAGGCGGAACTCTATTCCGGGCTGTCCAGACACACGTGGCCCGAGTGCAGGTCGGCTCCCTGGACCTGGATGTGCATGTGAGGGAAACTCAGAGTGGGTGTTGAGATGCGGGTGCCGAGCCTGTCCCCAGCCTGTCCCCAAGCTTGTGCCTTGCTCCTGCGACCTCTTACTCTGTGCCTTGTTCCCCAGACTGAGCGGGACGTGAGCGTGCGGCAGCGGGCCGTGGACCTCCTCTACGCCATGTGCGACCGCAGCAACGCCCCACAGATCGTGGCCGAGATGCTGAGCTATCTGGAGACAGCTGACTACTCCATCCGAGAAGAGATTGTGAGTTCTGGTGGCCTCTGAGTCCTCTCCTGCCACAGGCGTGAATCTCAGCGGCAGGATTTCCTTCGTGCTCTGCGATTCCGTCCAGCAGGACTTGATTGAGAACCCATGAGATGCTGAATACAAGGCTCCTCTGCCTCTGTGTTTTCATCCACATTTTCAAGCTGGGTGTGGTGGCACCTGTGGTCCCCGCTACTCCTGAGGTGGAGGCGGGAGGATCACCTGAGGCCAGGAGGTTGAGGCTGCAGTGAGTCGAGATCATGTCACTGCACTCTAGCCTGGGCAACACAGCGAGACCCTGTCTTAAAAAAAAATCAGCATTTTTGGTAGAGTCGTTTGGTCTTGAAAATAACTATTGGCCGGGTGTGGTGGCTCACGCCTGTACACCTTGGGAGGCCAAGGCGGGCGGATCACCTGAGGTCAGGAGTTCAAGACCAGCCTGACAAACATGGGGAAACCCTGACCCCGTCTCTACTGAAAATACAAAATTAGCCGGGCGTAGTGGCGCATGCCTGTAATGCCAGCTACTCCGGAGGCTGAGGCAGGAGAATCGCTTGAACCCGGGAGGCGGAGGCGGAGGTTGTGGTGAGCCGAGATTGCGCCATTGCACTCCAGCCTGAGCAACAAGAGCGAAACTCTGTCTCAAAAAAAAAAAAACTAAAATGCCCGTCCTGCGCGGCTTCTGTGGCCTGCCTGTCCTTGCAGTGGTGGCACTGTAGCCCCAGGTCTGAGTGAGGCTCCAGCCGTCTGCGCTGGGGCTGCACAAATCCAGACTCCTGTGGGCAAAATTCTTTTAATTGTGTTGCATTTTGAGCCCTTGAATTAATCCTTTGTGGCTTGGCTTTTTTGGGTGTCCCTCTTGATCTCTGGGAAGGACGGGATCTAGGCCATAGCTTAATGTCCCGTGTTGTTTTTATTCACAAAGTAGGTGTGCACACTTGCCAGATAGCTGAAGCTCATCAAACCTGTACGTGTGAAAGACTGAGCATGAACCAAAACCTGAGGGAAGAAACCCTTGTGGAGGCCACATGGTCAGCAGAGAAGAGGGCCTGAGGCCTCCACCACACTCACAGGCCTCTCAGGCTCACCGTGTCTGTGGATGGTGGGGTTTAAGGGGGAGGCCCGGTGTCCTCGCGTGGGGTTCGCCACTGTGACCAGCCAGGACCACAGCCTCTTGTTGAGGCTGAGACAGCGCCTCCGTTGTATAGAAAGCGCTTTGTTATTTGTTTTTTTTGGGCGAAGTGCGGCTCAAGGCCTCCTTGGGAGCTTTGCCGAGAGCCAGTGTTGGAGCTAGTGGCAGGTGACAGGGTTGCTCTGGGCAGGTGTTGTGTGGTCATGCCCAGGTGAGAGACTCGGGTTTTCAGGGGTCTTTTAGTGAACGGAGGAGCCCAGGTGCTGGGGCTTCAATGCTGAGGGGTGAAATTACCATGGACTGAGCTTCAGTGAGGCACTGCAGACCTGCAGAGAGCAGGGGCCAGGAGGCGGCTCTCACGCTGGACTGTCCACCCTCCAGGACAGTGGGCCTGGGAAGTTGAGGGGGACAGGGACGGGGTGGGCTGACTCCCGGCAGGAGGCCCCAAGGGCAGGCACCGTGGTGTAGGGCAGGGCTGTCTGTAGAGGGGCCAGGCAGGTGCTCGTTGACTGTAGCCAGTGGTCCCTCTCTGGCCTGGCTGGGGCAGTGTGGCCTGGTGTCAGCACTTGTGGTGGGGTGGGGCTGGCTCTGGGGACGGCCGTCACGGGAGCCTCGTTCCTGATTGTTGTTCTGGGTGTTTTGAACAGAGACAGAAGCAGTGTGCTTCTGAGTGCAGTTGTGCAGATTTTGAGGTCCTGGGCATTCGTCAGCCCGGTGTCTGCTCTCGCCCCTCTGCGTGATGAGCGGCAATCCTCAGCCAGCTCCTGCTGTGAGGAGTAAGACAGGTGCTGTGTCTTGGCCTGCATGATGCTCCCCCCAGCCCGTCCTTTCAGCCGGACATGATGCTCCCCTCACCCCATCCTTTCAGCTGGGCATGGTGCTCCCCCACCCCATCCTTTCAGCTGGGCATGGTGCTCCCCCCACCCCATCCTTTCAGCCGGGCAGGGTGCTCCCCCCACCCCGTCCTTTCATCTGGGCATGGTGCTCCCCTCACCCCATCCTTTCAGCTGGGCATGGTGCTCCCCCCACCCCATCCTTTCAGCTGGGCATGGTGCTCCCCCCACCCCATCCTTTCAGCTGGGCATGGTGCTCCCCCCACCCCATCCTTTCAGTCGGGTATGGTGCTCCCCCCACCCCATCCTTTCAGTCGGGTATGGTGCTCCCCTCCGTCCTTTTAGCCGGGCATGGTGCTCCCCTCCATCCTTTCAGCCGGGCACGATGCTCCCCCCACCCCGTCCTTTCAGCCGGGTATGGTGCTCCCCTCCGTCCTTTCAGCCGGGTATGGTGCTCCCCTCTGTCCTTTCAGCCGGGTATGGTGCTCCCCTCCATCCTTTCAGCCGGGCATGGTGTTTCCCTCTGTCCTTTCAGTCGAGCATGGCAGGGCGTGTTCTCTGGCTGTGCTAGGTGCTAAGTGTCCAAACTGGACATGGCCCACTCCCTGCCTACTCGGCACCTTGCCATCCATGGAGGGGGACGGATTGAGAGCAGGACCGTGGGTTGCTGTGCTGTGGGTGGGATGGCTGGAGGAAGTGCCTCATGTTCTGGGGGCCTCAGGAGGCATTACACTCCTGGGGGGCTGTGTGGACTTCTGCAGAAGGTGATAGTGGCCTGGTCTGGAGAGGATGATGGTGCAGAGGCTACTGGGAGGGCAGAGCATCCGTTCGTGGAGGGGTGGGAGGTACCTTAGCACAGGCTGGGGAGCAGGGCACGCGAGGCAGGGGTGGAAGCAGACATGGGGACCCTGCCAGTGAGGCCTGAGGGCCCCTGGTGCACAGCCGTGAGCTGCGGGTAGGGCTCAGAGGCAGTACATTTTGGAATGATGCCCTGGAAGTGTCACGGAGTCAGGTTGGGGTTTGGGGGTCCAGGCTCCAGGCAGGGACTTGGGGTGGGGGGGCACAGTCACCAGCACCTGAGAGGCCAGTGGCAGGGTGTGGAGAGGGGGCGGCAGGGTGTGGGGAGGGGCGGCAGGGTATTAGGGGTGCCCTCGGGAGGTGCGCGGTCTTGATGCCTGCTGGCGTTGGTGTTGGCAGCTGGCGCTGTTCGAAGGGGGCTTGGTTCCAGGCGAGGTGACTTTGGGGAGATGAGTTTGGTGTTGTACAGCCTGGCAGAGCTCCATGTGGGTGGCTGCCACGTGGGTGTGGGCTGGGCAGGTGCCTCCGGGGGGCACCCGTGAGAGTGAGCCAGAGAGGGGAAGAAGGGGAACCCCCAGGTGAGGCTCGCAGGAAAGACTGGCCAGAGCCGGAAGAAACCAGCAGAGAAGTGGCCGCCGGGAGCCCAGGGTGGCGCAGTCACTGGCCGCCGGGAGCCCAGGGTGGCGCAGTCAGAGGTCAGAGGAGTGCTGCCACCGGGAGCCTAGGGTGATGAGGTCAGAGGAGTGCTGCCGCCAGGTGCTGGGGCTTTGGGAGAGAAGGGCCCAGGTGGGAGGTGGCCTGGCTGTGGCCGTGGCCTTCTGTGCACTGGTCTCCGCCTCTTCCTGGCTTTCTTTGCTTAAGTCAGGGCATCTTAAACTTTCTGGGCTCGTGGGCTTTTTTGAGAATCGAGTTCAAGCTTCCTCCATGTCCCAAACTTTTGTAGACACATTGAGGTGCTTCTGAAACTCTCACTTTGACTTTGGACGACAGTTTGGTCTTGGGATTGCCATGGCCTGCAGGTGCCGGCCCTCAGCAGCCTGTCCCCCACAGGTGCTGAAGGTCGCCATCCTGGCTGAGAAGTACGCGGTGGACTACACCTGGTATGTGGATACCATCTTGAACTTGATCCGAATTGCTGGTGATTACGTGAGTGAAGAGGTGTGGTACCGAGTCATTCAGATCGTCATCAACCGGGACGACGTGCAGGGCTACGCGGCCAAGACTGTGTTCGAGGTATGGCCCGCAGGATGGCAGGAAGGATGGGGTGGAGGGCAGTTGCAGAAGGTGAGCAGTGAGTGGTTCCAGCCTGCCTGCGTGGAGGTGCCGAGGGCCGTTGCTGACCCCTCTTGCCCCTCAGCTCTTCCCTGAGGCTCTAGCTCCTCCACTGTTGGTGCCCCTTGCTGAGTCCCAGTTTCTTCTCACCCTAACTCTCAAACTTCTGGCTCTCTGGGGGCCACCTGAGAAAGCCGGCCTCTGTGTGTGTGAGAGCATGCTGGGGCATGCCGTGGTGGGGCCTGCCCTGTCCGTCGGAGAGGGTTAGGCCACCGGCAAGGGGTGTGCCATGAGGACGCTGGCAGAACCTCCCCAGCCAGAGCCTGTTGTGGATGCTGCAGCTCCCTCCAGGGCAGGTCAGCGTGTGGCAGCCTTGGGTTCCTTGCTGCTGACACAGGTACTGAGGGTGCTGAGGAAGGCAGGGATGGGCACTTGGACTGGGGTCTCCAGGAAGCTGAGGGGCTGGTGCTGGTGTAGGGTGCACCGCGCCAGGACGTGCCCGCCTCGCCTTAACTCTGGCACCTGGCTGCCACCCCGGCTCATTGTTTGTGCTTCGCAGGCTCTTCAGGCTCCCGCGTGCCACGAGAACCTGGTCAAAGTGGGCGGCTACATCCTGGGGGAGTTTGGAAACTTGATAGCTGGAGACCCGAGATCCAGGTGAGAGGCCCTTTGCGAGTCGGGGCTGTGTGCGCTCCGGCGGGCCTCTCGGTGGTCGGTGGCAAGAGGCGAGGCACCAGCTGGCCCTGCCGTGAGGCCTCGCAGAGCCGCTTCTGCTCCCCATCGGCGTCTTTTTGTTTTCCTTCAGTTGATAGAAAAAGCAGGGATTCTAGTAGAAAATGGAGACGTGGGGTTGATGGCTGACTTAGTGAAAGGGGCGTCTTTGCGGTGGGATCTGGAGCTGGAAGAGGGTCCCGACCAGCGGCCTCTGGTGCAGGCCAGGGGGTCTCGCCGCCGTCCCCCCCCCGCGGGGGCGTGCTGCAGCCTGCGAGGGGACGACGGTGTCCCTGTGTTGTGCCTCCCCGTCCCCAGCCCGCTGATCCAGTTCCACCTGCTGCACTCCAAGTTCCACCTGTGCAGCGTCCCCACCCGCGCGCTGCTCCTGTCCACCTACATCAAGTTCGTGAACCTCTTCCCGGAGGTGAAGCCCACCATCCAGGACGTGCTGCGCAGCGACAGCCAGCTCAGGAACGCAGACGTGGAGCTGCAGCAGCGTGCTGTGGAGTACCTGCGGCTCAGCACCGTGGCCAGCACCGACATTCTGGTAGGAGGCCCCCGCCCTTCGGGCTGGCTTGGCTGAGGGTTGGAGGCCAGGAGCTCTGACCAGTCCCACCCTGTGTTCTTTCCAAGGCGACCGTGCTGGAGGAGATGCCCCCATTCCCGGAGCGGGAGTCCTCCATCTTGGCAAAGCTCAAGAAGAAGAAGGGCCCCAGCACGGTGACAGACCTGGAGGACACCAAGCGGGACAGGAGTGTGGACGTGAACGGGGGTCCTGAGCCTGCCCCAGCCAGTACCAGCGCCGTGGTGGGTCCCTCACCTACTGTGCACCCAGACCTGTCAGGGCCTCACCCCCAAGACTTGGGACCAGCAGAGCATTTGCCTGTCAGGGAGGAGCATGTACTGAGAACCCAGGCTCTGGCTGTGGCTCTGGACACCCCGCTGTCCTGTCCTGGGGGCCACTGTCCCTGCTGGACACGCTGCTGTCCTGTCCTGGGGGCCACTGTCCCTGCTGGACGCCACGCTGTCCTGTCCCGGGGGCCACTGTCCCTGCTGGACGCCCCGCTGTCTGTCCCGGGGGCCACTGTCCCTGCTGGACGCCCCCCTGGCCTGTCCCGGGGGCCACTGTCCCTGCTGGACGCCCCGTTGTCCTGTCCCGGGGGCCACTGTCCCTGCTGCACACCCTGCTGGCCTGTCCCGGGGGCCACTGTCCCTGCTGGATGCCCCCCTGGCCTGTCCCGGGGGCCACTGTCCCTGCTGGACGCCCCGTTGTCCTGTCCCGGGGGCCACTGTCCCTGCTGGACGCCCCCCTGGCCTGTCCCGGGGGCCACTGTCCCTGCTGCACACCCTGCTGGCCTGTCCCGGGGGCCACTGTCCCTGCTGGACGCCCCCCTGGCCTGTCCCGGGGGCCACTGTCCCTGCTGCACACCCTGCTGGCCTGTCCCGGGGGCCACTGTCCCTGCTGGACGCCCCCCTGGCCTGTCCTGGGGGCCACTGTCCCTGCTGCACACCCCGCTGGCTTGTCCCGGGGGCCACTGTCCCTGCTGGACGCCCCTCTGGCCTGTCCCGGGGGCCACTGTCCCTGCTGCACACCCCGCTGTCCTCTCCCGGGGGCCACTGTGCCTGCTGGGCAAGGCACTTCCTTCAGACCGTCGTCTTGTCCAGCTCAGCTCACACATCCTCTGTGGTGCCTTGTTTTAGGGGAAGTGGCCGTCCCCTCTCCTACAGGACTGCCTCACCCAGGCAGCTGTCCTCACATGCTTTGTTGATTTAGAGAGGACCTGTCCTGCCCTGCTCTTCGAGGTTTTATGTAGTGAGTTGGGTTAGGTCTGGTTTTCCTTGTATGTGTGATGCGATGAGAATAATCCTGTAACAGAATGTGTCCTGTGGTATTTGTCAGGTGAGAAGTGTCGTTTTGAGAGTTGCGTTTTTGCTTGGCTCTGCTTGCCAGCTGTTCCCCTCTGCACTGTCAGGGAGGGCTCCTGTCGGGGTCAGGCGGGCTTTCTGTTTGTCCAGTTAGAGGACCTGTCTCTCCAGGACGCAGGTCCAGTGGTGGCAACCAGTGCTGCTACCCAGTATCGGCAGGGCTTTGTGGGGTGAGCTCCTGTGGTGGTGCCTGCCCTGGCAGTGTGCTGGTTGGGAGGGTGCTCATGTCGGAGTCCTGGCACTCCTTGGCGGGGACCTGCTTATGTGCCCCGGCTGACCATGTGTCCTGCCCCTCTGGCCGACAGTGCAGGGCCTGCCATGGGGCTGGTATCCAGGCTGAGCCTGACATCTCAATGAGCAGTCTTCCCTCCCCCTCTTCCTCCCTCTCCCCTCCCTCCACCTAGTGTCCTCTGTGCAGCCCCTGTCCCCCCGTGCCCTCTCTCTGTGTTGTTTGTGGCACGCTGCTGTGCCCGCCATCTGGAGGCTTGAATTGCCTGTGAGCTCATCCTGGAGTGAATGAAATGAATGAAAGATGTGACTCTTTCTCCCAAGGTGGGCGTCTTCCCTTCACGCCTGAGCACCTTCATGCTTATGTTTCTCATGTGCTCTGTAGAGCTGGTGACCTGCTTTTGACCCTGTCTCCTCCCGTGGGACGTCACTAGCCAGGCGCCTAGTGCAGCAGGCCTCTGTCACTCCTCTAATCCATCTCTCCCTCTCCTTTGGACATCTTGACATAGGTTTCTGGAGGCAGAAACTTGCTTGTGGAGATTTGTCTGTGAGCTGCCGGAGCAGGGGCCTTCCCGTGGGTGCTGGGCCGGCAGCGGCTCCGCCCTGCAGAGAGGAGGACGCGGCCCCAGTTGGGTGAGGAGGCGAGGGCAGGATGACGTGATCCAGGGGAGGCTGGTGTGCAGGGATTCCTGGAGGCCGGCTTTCAGCAAGGGCACTGTGAAGTCTTCCACGGAAACCTGGGATTGCCTGTTGGAAGCTGGGAAGGCACCAGGTGCTCTCGCTCCCCTCCAGCTGCTTTGACGTTAAGAGGAACTCGCTGAGGGAGCATGGAAAGGGGCTGTAGGATTGTCTTCAGTCTCTCTTTGGTTCTTATTTGATGTTTCTTTTTAATGTGGGTCCTGAGAAGTGAGGTGTGCCCATACCCCAGGCCTTTGATCACACCCAGGTTTGTCCGGCTAGGCTCAGGGTGGACTTTGGAGGGCCTGGCCTTGACTGTGTGGCTTAGGGATCAGATGGAAGCTTCTGGACCCTGGGAGTGAGAGCAGTGTGCTGCCCTCTGAAAAGGAGGATGAGGGTCCAGTGAGGTTCAGCATTTCTGTAAGGTGCCTTCTTGGAGGGAGTTCCCCCTTCAGGGCTCATTCAGTGGATTTTCTGAGTGTGGCTTCACTCCTGATGGTCAGTGGTGCCTGGCGGGTGGGTTCCTTAGGGAGGTGTCTGTGGCCGAGGCACGCAGCTCTGTTCTGAGCTGAGAGCTGTGGTGTGTGGGCACCTCCGTCCTGACTGAGAGCTGTGGTGTGTGGGCGCCTCCGTCCTGACCGAGAGCTGTGGTGTGTGGGCCCCTCTGTTCTGACCGAGAGCTATGGTGTGTGGGTGTCATTGCTATCCTGTGCTTTCCAATCTGTTCCCATTGCTCACGGGAGCCCCAGTGAGAGGCCCCTCCCTATGGGGAGACACTCCTGGCGAAGTTTTCTTGCTCAGGGTCTTCTGTATGGGCCGTGAAGGGGCCTCAGGGTGGCATCAGCACATGTGCCTTTCCCACGAGAGACAGTGGCTTTATCTTGGTGTCACATTGGCCAAAATGTCTTTTATTTAACATCATAGATGAGGCCAGGACATTTTACTTCTTCCGAGCATCCTCTTTCTGCACACAGCTCCTTGGGGGAGGCTGTGGTGTGCGTGTCCCCGGGTGTGCTGGGGAGCACAGGGGTGTGGGGATCAGAGGCTGCCTGGCTTCACATGCAGGAGCCTGGGGCCCTTGTAGGCAAAACCTTCACCCCTCAAGTTGTCCTGCTATTGGAGGGAGGAGGTGAACTGGTGTGGCCCAGGAGCCAGGCCTGCTCCCTGAGGAGGGTCTCCCAGGCCTGAGAGGATAAGGAAGATGAAGAACCTGAAGTGGGTGTTAGGACCCTACTGTCCTGGGGCCTTGCATCTGGCCTCGCTGTTACAATCTGTGGTAACGTTTCAGGTACAAATGCCTTTACTAGGGCAAAGGGCTTTCCTACTTTAGAAAGCAGTTAAAAGCCATAGATGGCTGGGCATGGTGGCTCACACCTGTAATCCCAGCGCTTTGGGAGGCTGAGGTGGGCGGATCACTTGAGGTCAGGAGTTTGAGACCAGCCTGGCCAACATGGTGAAACCCCGTCTCTTCTAAAAATACAAAAATTAGCCAGGTGTGGTGGTGTGTGCCTGTAATCCCAGCTGCTCGGGAAGCTGAGGCAGGAGAATTGCTTGAACCCAGAAGGCGGAGGTTGCAGTGAGCTGAGATTGCACCACTGCACTCCAGCCTGGGTAACAGAGTGAGACTCGGTCTCAAAAAAATAAAATAAAATAAAATAAAAGCCATAGATGTATTTGAATCAGTGCAGGAACCAGGGTAACATCTGTGATGAGATGCAGAGGAGAAACTGTCTCCATTTGGGCTGCAGGTGCATGGCCATGGCCAAGGCCGATGGCTTCCCACGCAGCTCACAGCTTTGTCAGGCTGTGGAGGCCACAGTGTTGGCGGGCGCTGTCCCCGGCGTAGGGAGCAAAGCGCCGCCTTCAGATGGTCTCATCGAGACACGCCTTGGATATTTTTGGGACTCTTCTCTGCCAGCTCCTCTGTGACCTCCCACCCTTGGAGCACATGAGACCCGTGTCGTCTTCTCTTGCAGAGGTGCTCCGTCACAAGAGCAGAGCCTGGGAGCCTGCCCCGTTTCTGACTGCCCCCCAATCCCCATTCTGACTCTCACCCGCCCCCATTCTGACCCCCCGCCCCCATTCTGACCTGCACCTTTTTTGCATAACACACTTTGTGATGCCTCATTTATCTTTGAGTAAAATTCATATATCACAAACCCACACATGTAGTTTTTTTGAAAGTACAGTGTGACACCTTAACTTTGCATTAATGTAAAATGGCATTCAGGTGGAGTCTCAGATAATTACAAACTAATTTTTTACCTTCTTAGATGTCCAGTGGAACATTCTAAAGTTACTCAAGACGAATCTTCAAGTTAGGGTGTCTTGTGTCTCTGTTTTTTGCCTGTGAAATGCCAATATCCTTGTGATAGTCAGAGCCCTCCACATCTCCAGAACGCTCTTAGCTGGGTGGGGGGTTTCTCCACCAAGAGCCCCTGGTGTATAGTGTCAAAGTGTGAGTGTTGCCAGGCTGTAGTTCAGTGGTACGATCTTGGCTCACTGCAATCTCCGCCTCCTGGTTTCAGTTCTCCTGCCTCCACCTCCTGAGTAGCTGGGATTACAGGCGTGTGCCACCACACCCAGCTAATTTTTGTATTTTTAGTAGAGACGGGGTTTCACCATGTTGGCCAGGATGGTCTCAATCTTCTGACCTTGGGATCTGCCCCCCTCGGCCTCCCAAAGTGCTGGGATTACAGGTGTGAGCCACCGTGCCAGGCTGGGTGTCCTTTTTATAGGGAGCATCTGAGTCCCTCTGGTGCACAGGCTGCTGTGGGGCAGGACCCGTGGAGCCCAGAGCAGGTCTGAGCTCCCAAAGTCAGGCTGCTGGGGCATTGCTGGGGAGCCTGCTGCCCTGTTGGATGGGTGAGCATGCGATGGACTGAGCTGCTGCTTGTGCCCTGTTGTGAGAGTTTAATCATGAGATCATAGGCGCTCTTTCCTTGTGCCTTTGCCCCAGGATCAAAGAGCAATTACTGGGGCCGGGTGCGGTGGCTCATGGGAGGCCGAGGTGAACGTATCACCTGAGGTCAAGAGTTCGAGACCAACCTGGCCAACATGGTGAAACCCTGTCTCCACTGAAAATACAAAAATTAACTGGGCGTGATGGCGGCCACCTGTAATCCCAGCTACTTGGGAGGCTGAGGCAGGAGAATCGCTTGAGGTGGAGGTTGCAGTGAGCCCACACCAGTGCACTCCAGCCTGGGCAATAGAGTGAGACTGTCTCAAAAAAAACAAAAACAGAGACAGTCTCTTGCTATGTTGCCCAGGCTAGTTTTAAACTCCTGGACTCAAGCAGTCTTTCTGTCTCAACCTTCCAAAGTGCTGGGATTACAGGTGTGGGGCACCATGCCCAGCCAAAAAGCAATTATTTTTTAAAAGTATCCGTTCTGTAGACTTTTAATGATTAATAATGATTTAGTAATAATTTAATGATTAATAATGCACCCGAGTAAGTTATTTGCTTTTTCATCTTTGGAAGCTTACTTTCTTATTGGACAGTTGGCAGTAACATGCATGATCTTAGTTCTTTCTTTTTTTTTTTTTTTTTTGAGATGGAGTCTCGCTCTGTCGCCCAGGCTGGAGTGCCGTGGTGCGATCTCGGCTCACTGCAAGCTCCGCCTCCCGGGTTCACACCATTCTCCTGCCTCAGCCTCCCGAGTAGCTGGGACTACAGGCGCCCACCACCACGCCCGGCTAATTTTTTTTGTATTTTTTAGTAGAGATGGGGTTTCACCGTGTTAGCCAGGGTGGTCTCGATCTCCTGACCTCGTGATCCGCCCACCTCGGCCTCCCAAAGTGCTGGGATGACAGGTGTGAGCCACCGCGTCTGGCCTTTTTTTATGTCTTTCATGGCAAAATTTTTTTGAGAATTTTTTTCATTCAAATAGCATTTGTGAAAAAATGTAGGGTGCCTTAGTGAAATTATGACTGATGTTTTAAGTGCAGTTATCTTTAGGCTGGAGTCTGGGATATACTCAGGAAGTGGCTGTTAGCCCTCACTCTCTGGTCACTCACTGAGTTGTGTGCCACCTGCCCCAGCCACTGGGAGTGCATGGATGCCAAGGGGGTGCCATGGGGGAGGACGTGCAGGCGTGAGCTGCCTGGGGTTGGCCAGGCCAGGGAGGCTCTCTGCTGATGCTCTCCTTCCTTCTCTTCCAGTCTACGCCTTCTCCGTCGGCAGACCTGCTGGGTCTCGGGGCTGCCCCCCCTGCCCCCGCGGGCCCCCCACCCTCCTCCGGCGGCAGCGGGCTGCTCGTGGACGTGTTCTCAGACTCGGCCTCTGTGGTCGCGCCTCTCGCTCCTGGCTCCGAAGACAACTTTGCCAGGTAGTCAGGTTTCCTGAGTCCTGCAGACAGGCACGGGGCTGCCGTGCCCCCTGACTTCTGGTGTGGCCGCGGCCAGCTGGACAGAGGTGGGCAGCGGAGTTTACCTCCCAGATTACTGCCTGGGGGAGAGAGCGGGAGCTGCTGTGTTGTGGGTGGGTTTGCTGTGTCATTCCTCTCACAACCTTGATTTATATGGACTGCAGTGTTCATTACTCTCAGGAGGAAAAGGAGGACATGAAAGAAACACACTGTCTGGGTGGTGGTTGTGTCCTGTCTGCACGGTGATGTCCGATCATGTTTCAGCTGCTGTTTGAGTGTTGATAAACACTCTTTGTAGCTACACGTCTCCTCTCTTCGCCTCTTTCCTGTCTAGTTGGGCTGCTTTTCATTCTGACTTAAGCCGTCTTGTCTGTGTCTGTCCTGGAGGCCCGGTCTCTTGTCCTTGAGTTGCTCACTTGCTAAGTCCTTCTGTGAGGCCCACCCTGCTCACGCCTTCGGCCTCCACCCTGTGGTTCCCCCTGAGGGCAGCCTGTCTTTGCTGCTTGTCCTGCTCTAATTTCTGTCCGGTGCCTGGGCACCTCCCGGCTCCCTGTGTGCAGTGGTCTCTGCCAGTGTCTCCGTGGTCTTCAGATCGTCGGTGCTGACCACTTTCCCCCGCACGTGCTCTCCCCAGCCCTCTCTGCTGGGCTCATCAGCTGTGCATTCCGCTTACTGGCTGCTCTCAGCCATCTGCTTGTTTTCATGTCTGGCCGGAGGTCTGAGGTGCCCCCTTTCCTGGAGTTGACGCCTCTCCCCTGCTGCCCTGTGGGGTGGGAGCGCAGGTGCCGGTTTCTGTCCCAGATGGAGGTTAGAGAGCCTTTGAGGAATGGCCTTTTGGCCCCCCATTTTGAAGACTGTAATAGAGTTCTGGTGTTTTTCAGTTCTTTGTATTCATGTTGCACGTGAGTTCTGTTTCCTGTTACGTGTTGGGAAAGGACTTAGGAGAGGCAGGCCGGCGTGGTGGTGGGTGCAGGTCGCCGCTTGGGCTGAAAACAGTCTTACTGCTCTTAGAGTCGCTGTGTTTGAGATTGAGAATCCAGGTTGCAGGGCTCTGGTGGTGGCTGCTCCTCAGTGTCTTGGTGGCAGGAAGGGACCAGGGGCTGGGCAGTCCGTGGCAGCCGTGGCCCTTCCCTGCTGGGCGCTGCCTGCCCTGTCTCCATACGGCTGTGCTGGGAGCTGCACATGGCCCTTGTGCACGCCTCACATTGGGTGGCGCTGTCTGCAGCTGGCCAGGCCTCGGGGCTCTTGTGCATGCGGCCGTCTTGGCTTTGATCTGGCTACAGAGGGTCATCAGGTGTCTGCGTGTGTTTGGTGTAGGATGGAGGCACAGAGTGCCTCAGGGCGAGCCGGCTGTGGTGGCTGCTGGCACACGGCTCACAGGACAGGGCGGCTGCATTCTCATGGCCTTGCAGAGTGGTTTGCATTTTCCCCAAAGATTCCTCCAGGCCAGGTTGTAGTTGGGATGAACCAAGCAGAGATACTGACCACAAGGGCCTCTCTGTCACGTCATGGGTGGTCCGTCAGAGCCCCTCCCGTGTTCTTGACAGATTTTACTTTAAAGTGGCTTAGTCCACACCCTGAGTGTAAACTCCGTGGCCCCTCGCGTGGAGTGCCCGCTGGCTGTGGGCGGAGCAGCGACCCGGGGGTGCGGTGAGCACGTGGACCTCCGCCTCGGCCGGCTCCTCCTGTTAAGCGATCTCTGCTTTGTTAGCCGCCTGCTGTGAGCAGTCCCAGGTGAAGCCCAGTAGACATGTTCCAGGCTGTGTTGTGGATCGCTGTCCTGTGTTGTGTGTTGCTTAGACCACACTTGACTTTTTGAAGCTTCGCATGTGGCTGCAGCCGGACCAGCAGCCTGCCGGGCTGTGCAGGGGGCGGCTGTGGCCTCCAGAGGTGTGCGCAGGGACTGCTGCCTCAGCGGCTCTCGTGGCCGTGGCAGGCTGGAGTGGGGCATTGCGTGGCGAGCAGCGCCCTCCTGGCCCCAAGAGCGAGCCAAGGGCCGCCTGTCACTGCCCCTTGCCGTCTGTTGCTGCTTCCTCTGTCTTCCTGGCCTGGTCTCCATACAGCAGGATGCCGATGAGAAGGTTGGCAGCACTCAGACCTTCCAGGGTGGCAGCTGTGGTGCAGTTAGTGGAGACTGGCTGCAGGAGTGGCTGACCTTGATCGCCGCCATGTCAGCACAGGTGGAGGTGGAGATTTCAGAATTAGGCTGCTGCCGTGCAGCATTTGCTTCTTAGGCACTGGGGTGGGTTGGAGGGAGGGGGCGGTGCCATGACCTCCTGCCTCCCCACCCTGTGGTTTGAATCAGTGCCACATCCATCTCTGTGCTGGGTTCACCCAGGAGCCCTGTGCCACTGCCCCGCCTCCCTCTCCTCTCTTTTGGATCTAGGTCACTGTGGAGTTACAGTTTCCTAGAGGAGGTCAGAAAACTTGAAGCTCTTCTGAGAGAAACACAAATGAAAGCTAACCAACGCTATTTTATTTTCCCCTAATTCTGTGTAGTGTAGATAGGTGCCCTGTGGTGAGCAAAACCCTGGGCTCCCTGTGCGGTGTAGACACTAACCACGCATGGGGCGAGAGGAGAGGCCAGAGGGGAGATGGGGGCGCCCAGGGCCCTGCAGGGCTGTGCTGCTGGTGGGTGGATGGCTGGGTGCCCGTGCATGCGTGTGCATCAGCGGGGAGCAGCCAGGCTCTGATGGCGAGGCCCTCGCTGGGTGGAAGCTCAGCACCCGTGTTGGATGGAGTCTGTGGTGGGGCCAGAAGCTGTGTGCGTGCCTCACGCCCGTGTCCCTTCTGGGGCCGTGAGAGGCCGTTACATGTGGACCAGCATGTTCCTGAAAAGCAGCTGCACCAACCAACTTCACAGGTCTTGCCGGGGCTGTGTCCGCGTCCCTGCGTCCTGCTCACCGTCCTCCTCCAGTGGCTGTTTGTCAGGATAGTCCTTGGAATAGTTTCCACTTTTTTCTTCCCTTGTGTGCCATAGAGGTTTTTCTGGCCTCCTCGTGCTGTGAGTTTTTTTCCAGAACAAACCCTTGTGTTTTCTGCAGGTGGCTTTGAGTGACACATATACTGTCCCTTTTCCCCTAGGTTTGTTTGTAAAAACAATGGTGTGTTGTTTGAAAACCAGCTGCTTCAAATTGGACTTAAGTCTGAATTTCGGCAGAATTTAGGTATGTGTTTTAATTACTTAATGAAACTGTCTCTTAGAAATATGGGAAATTAAGAGAAAATATTTGCAAATCATATACTTATAAGGGATAGATATCCAGAATATAAAAAGAACTCCCATAACTCAGTAAGAAAGCAGCCCAATTAAAAAATGGGCAAAAGAACAGCCTGGGCAAACACATCAAGACCCCATCTCTACAACCA
The DNA here is from genome assembly GCF_000001405.40 of Homo sapiens. Classification (NCBI taxonomy): domain Eukaryota; kingdom Metazoa; phylum Chordata; class Mammalia; order Primates; family Hominidae; genus Homo; species Homo sapiens. The sequence goes on from NT_187656.1 coordinate 66,750, forward strand.
GAGGGGGTGGCGGGGAGGTGGGGGTGGGTGCAAAGTTGTTGAAAAGACGACATTCTCCAGGGAAAATACAGGAATGCTCAATAAGCACCTGAAAAGATGGACAAAGTCACGAGGGAAGTGCCAATCAAAACCACAGTGAGCTACCACCTCACCCCTCCAGGATGGCTGTTAGAAAACAAACAAGCAGCCTGTGCAGTGGCTCACGCTTGTAACCCCAGCATGTTGGGAGGCCGAGGCAGGCAGATCACTTGAGGCCAGGAGTTCGAGACTGGCCTGGCTAACATGGTGAAACCCTGTCTCTAATAAAAATACAAAAATTAGCTGGGTGTAGTGGTGTGTGCCTGTGGTCCCAGCTACTTGGGAGGCTGAGGCAGGAGAATCACTTGAACCTGGGAGGCGGAGGTTGCAGTGAGCCAAGATCATGCCACTGCACTACAGCCTGGGCAACAGAGTGAGACTCTGTAAATAAATAAATAAACAGACTGGCCTGGTGGCCTGGTGACTTAGGCCTATAATTCCAGCACTTTGGGAGGCCGAGGTGGGAGGGTCACTTGAGCCCAGGTGTTTGAGACCAGCCTGCACAACATTGTGAGACCCCATCTCTACAAAAAATACAAAAATTAGGTAGACGTGCTGGTGCACACCTGTGGTCCCAGCTACTTGGGAGGCAAAGGTGGGAGGATCGCTTGAGCCCAGGTGTTTGAGGCTGCAGTGAGCTGAGATCTTGCCACTGCACTGCAGCCTGGGCAACAGAGCGAGACCCTGTCGTTCATTCATTCATTCATAAATAATGCATACATCATTATTTATGTATGCATAAATAACCAAAAAGGAAAAAGAGTGTCTGCAGGGCGTGGTGACGTTGGAGCCTTGTACGCCGCTGGTGGGAATGTACAGTAGTGCGGGCACTGTGGGAAGTTCCTCAGAACACAAAAGAAGATGGAATTACTCTGTGACCCAGCAGTTCCACGTCTGGGTACAGACCCCAGAGAATTGAAAGCTGGGTCTTAAAGAGGTACCTGTCCACCCATGTCCAATGGCAGCACTATTCACAATCACCGAAAGTTAGAAACAGCCCAGATGTTCATGGGTGGATGCCTAATTAAACGAAATGTGGTCTGTCGACGCAGTGGAATATTATTCAGCCATCAAACGGCAGAAAGGAATGAAATTCTGATGCATAAAGCAGCACACATGCACCTTGAGGACATGGTGCTCAGTGACACGGGCCAGACACCTGGACAAATCCTGTGTGGCTCCACTCATGCGGTCCCTAGAGCAGTGACTTCGTAGAGACAGAACGTAGCTGGGGGATGCCAGGGCCTAGGCCAGGGGGATGGGGAATTGGTGTTTAATGGGGACAGAGTTCCGTTTGGGAAGATGAGAACGTTCTGGAGATGGTGGTGGTGGCAGCAGCTGCACAGTGTGGATGCACTTCCTGTGCCCTTGTGTGCACCTAAATATGGCTAGGAAGGTGAATGTTAGTGTATTTTACCACAATTTAGGAGAAAGACATAAAAAAGCCTTTGAGTGTAAAAAAATGCTGTGCACGGAACCCTGTGGCTGCAGGGGCCCTGGCTGCGGACCTGCCTCCTCTCAGCGCCTGCCTTGAGCCTCCTCAGGACTGCTCTCTCTCTCATCTGTGAAAAACACAGAAAGAATGTGAAAAAAGAGAATTAGTCCTCTGCCCGCCAGGGGTCTGTTAGAAAAGTGAGGGTTGTCAGAGTGATTCCTGTGGGAAACGCTGCATTGAAAACAGGTGGTGCCTTTAGTCCTGGTTTAAGTTTTTAAGCTCTGGGCCGTGATAGCTTCACGAGGTGTTGGTTTTGGGTTTTTAAATTGTGGGAGGAGTGATGCCAAACTGTTTACTGTTTTCAAAATATTTGAGATTTCCTTTCTGAATTCAAGGGGTATACAGATGTTCACAAAGATTTTTTACTGTGATATAAATAAAAACAGCGACACATCCTAAATGTGCACCTGTGCCGTGGCTGAGCCGCTGCAGTGAGGGCTAGTGTGCAACACCGATGCTGTGCTGGACGCGTGCCCAGCCGGGTCCCCTGACAGGAGGCAGCCGGGGCCGGTGCGTGTGTTTGCATGTTGCAGTCATGGGGCGGGGCCGGCAGAGGCCTGTGTGATTGTGGCGTCCCTGGAAAAGATGCTTGGCAGGCCCCTCCAGCTGTAGCCCAGCCTGCAGACGGGGCGTTCTGTGGGTCCTTCCCCGTGCATATGCGTGTGATCTCACCCATCCCGTGTGGGTGCGCAGGAGGGGCCGAGGGAGGAGGGTGCTGGAGGGCGGAAGTTACCTCTGACTGGAGGAGATACCCGGCCCGTGTTACCAGCACTGGTGTGCTCGTTCTAAAACTGGAAAAAATTTGTTCTTAATTTTAACAACAGTCATACATCACAACAGTGAACTTAAATTCAGCTGAAGATTGTGGGGGGCTCTTGTTTTTCAGGGTAAATATTCAGGGTAAGTGTGAAATGGTGTGTGTGAAAAAATTGTTTTTGTTCCTTCTAGGTCGGATGTTTATCTTTTATGGTAATAAGACCTCCACGCAGTTCCTAAACTTTACCCCAACACTAATCTGTTCAGACGACCTTCAGCCTAATATCCTTGGCTTCATTGCCCCATGCCCGCAGACAGCATAATGTGGGGCTTAGAGGAGGCTTTTGAGGAAGTTTTTTGGTTTTCTTATTTTGTTAAAATAGCGAGATAATTCCAGATGCTATATGAAAATCAGGCAGTCGTAATCTGCCTATGGTGCTGGGCAGGAGAAGGAAAACAGGCAGTCTTCCATATTGGAGAGCCAGCTTTTGATCATGCACCTAAAAATACCGTGTACATGCCTCCTCCCCTTCCATCTGGCCAGTGTGAGTCCCTTTCCTTTTCACCTGCTCTTACTCTCCTGTGACGTGATCTTTAAACCCCTCCTCTCCGAAGCCTCACAGAGCTGCTGCTTGCAGAGTGTGGGAGGCGCCAGTGGGGACTGGAGCGCGGTGCGCACCCCAGCCGAGCTTGTGTGTGCTTCTGGCAGAGCTTTTAGACTGAAGATTTTCCCTTCGTAATGCCAGAAGCGTTCCTAGAACTTCCCCAGCTAAAACAGGGAGACGCTAACGTCTCTACCTCTAAGGATAGGCCCGCCAAATAGAGTTAGCGTGAAGACCCCAGCTTGACCAGAGATGGTGACACCTGGGGATTTATGGTCAGCGACCTGAGTGAAGCAACATCCTCCTTGCCACTGGCTGGTCTGTTCATTTTAACATGAACATGTTTTAATGCAGACTGTTCAAGCTGTTTCAAAACAGTCATTAAAAATACACATGCAGGAGCACCTGTATTAAAGACTTTGTTTGGAATCTGGAGTGGAAGCTCTGACTCCTACTGCGCCCTTCTTTAGGGGTCTCTCCCTCGGGGTCCACTTGGCTCGAGGCGGCAGCGAGCCCAGCAGCTGAGTGGCCGGCGGCACACGACCCAGAGGGAAGGAGAGGCCTGCACCCCGCTGCCTCCTGGACCCAGCTTTGCTGCTGTCACTGTTTCTTCAGGAGAGGCTGTAGGCAAACCCTTGTTTTCCAGCATGAAAACAACCCTGGTCCCAGCAGGGCAGGCTCTTTTCTGTGTCTCGCTGTTTCAGGAGCCTGCTATTCCTGGGATTCTTAAAGTTTTCCTGCCCTACTAAGCACCAGTTTCTGCTAACGGTGACAAAAATTGTGTGTGTAAGACCCAGAGCCGAGGCTCAGAGTGAAAACAGACAAGTAGTATATAATCTAAGTGACTTTTTAAAATGGAGGAGCCATTCTGGAAGCGTGAGAAGCAGACAGTGTTTTGAGGATTGTCTGGGTGGAAGGGCAGGGCCGGGTGGTGTGGCTGCCCTCGACCCGTAGCTGGTGGTCCTAGAGTGTGGTGAGTGTGCTCGCCTCCACGGGTCCTGCTGGGGCTCTAGCCCGGCCCGTTTCCGCTTCTGCCACTGGGACTTGCTCAGCTGGATTCCTTAACGCACGCACACCTGAACCTGCAGACCAAGCCCGTGGACCCGACCGTGGAGGGGGGCGCGCAGGTGCAGCAGGTGGTCAACATAGAGTGCGTGTCCGACTTCACGGAGGCGCCAGTCCTCAACATTCAGTTCAGGTAAGAGCCGCCTGTGCGCCCCGGGCCAAGGGGTGTGTGGGCGCCTGAGCTGTGTGCCTGGGCTCCATGACTGTGCCTCCGTGTCCTTCCTGAGGGGACCCGGGGCGTGCGGGTGCTCACGGTGCATGGATGCGGCCTGAGCTATTGCTGCCCCCGGCTCTGCAGAGCGCAGGAAACAAGGGGAGGCGGAGCCCTGGGCTCCGGGACGGCAGGTGGCAGCTCCCACATGGGGCCTTGCTAGGATCTTTCTGGGCACCATGGGGCCCACCTCATGGGGTGGCAGACAGCCAGGGCCCCCGCGCCACCTGCCCGGCTTGGTACCAGACGACAGCTGTGGGGTGCAGGCAGCTGGTTTCCTTCGGCCCCCTGGCCTGGGGGGCGCGTTTTTTGCTCAGTTGAGCTCAGATCGTACCACTTTGCTTATTTTTTAAAAGCATAGGATTTTCCTGTTGCGACTGTTCATTACTCTCACTTTTCAGTGACTACAAATAGCGTGGATACAGTCAGCCCGTCCCCTGCTGGGTGTCTGCAAGGTTAGGAATGTTGAGAAAAGCACACTTTCTAACATTAAAAAGACAGAGAACTTAAGATTGTATACTGTAGAATTCGGGGACATAGACATGCAAGTTTTTGTTTCATTCTTTGTGCAAATGCCTTTGCCTTTTTAAAGAAAAAACATCACACTATTTGCACAGACTTGGAGTTCTGGGAAACAGATGAATGGGGAGAAGTGAGGCACAGGGACGTCCTGCCTGAGTATGCGGCCCTGGCCTGTCCTCCTGTCTGTGGGTGACACTGGACACTGAGCCACACACGATCCGTGGGGACTGAAGGCTCGGCCCCCCGACCCGCTCTGGTGGGTGGCAGTAGATCGGGACGCTTCTCACTCCAGGCTCTTTCCCGGTCCCTGGGGCTCTCAGAGGAGTAGCTGACTGTCTCTTTCTGCTGCTGCTGCTGCTGGCAGGTATGGGGGCACCTTCCAGAACGTGTCTGTGCAGCTGCCCATCACTCTCAACAAATTCTTCCAGCCGACAGAAATGGCTTCTCAGGATTTCTTTCAACGTTGGAAGCAGTTGAGCAAGTGAGAAACCTGTTTCCTGTAGGGGTCAGGGGTGGGGACGGGGCTCATTTGAAAAGGTGGGTTTTGGTCTCTGGCCTGGCTGAGAACACTCGCCTTTGCTGTTTCTCACAGTCCACAGCAGGAAGTGCAGAACATCTTCAAAGCAAAGCACCCAATGGACACAGAAGTCACCAAAGCCAAGGTAACACGTCTGGAGGGATGGCCCCGGGGGACACGCAGCCCGTGACCCCGCGCCAGGGTCTGGAGGGACGGCCCCGGGGAACACGCAGCCCATGACCCCGCGCCAGGGTCTGGAGGGACGGCCCCGGGGGACACGCAGCCCGCGACCCAGCGCCAGGGTCTGGAGGGGCGGCCCCGGGGGACACGCAGCCCGCGACCCAGCGCCAGGGTCTGGAGGGGCGGCCCTGGGGGACACGCTGCCCGCGACCCCGCGCCAGGGTCCTCATTCTCCTGTTTCTTTGGACAGATCATTGGATTTGGTTCTGCACTTCTTGAAGAAGTTGATCCTAATCCTGCGAATTTCGTGGGAGCTGGAATCATCCACACGAAAACCACCCAGATTGGATGCCTGCTGCGCTTGGAGCCGAACCTGCAAGCCCAGGTCAGGCCCTCAGGAAATGGTGGAACACACTTGAGTTGCTTTTTATTCTGGCACAATGTACGTGGTGAGATGCGTAGCTCTTTAGTGCAGTTCAGTCAGTTTTGACAGATGTTGTTTAACCACCACCCTGTCAATACATGGTTGCCTCCCAGCCTCCCCGCAGCTGGCCACCGTGGAGCATCATCCCTAGTGCAGTTCAGTCAGTTGTGACAGATGTTGTGTGCCTGTTTAACCACCACCCTGTCAATACATGGTTGCATCCCAGCCTCCCCACAGCTGGCCACCGTGGAGCATCGTCCCACCATGGAGCAGCCTGGCCCTGGGCGGTGGCTCTCCCAGCTGTTCCTCTCTGTCACCGCGTTGTTCCTTCTCACCACGTCCCGTTCTGGCGACGGACACCTGTCTCCGTTTCACTTGGGTGGCACCCAGGAGTGCTGCTGTCGCCCAGGGCCTGTGTGTGGTTAGTGCTGCAAGAACATCCCACAGCTTCTCCAGGTGGCCGTGCCACTTTGCACTCCCGCCAGCTACGTACGAGACGCCAGGCGCTCCCATGCCAGCCCTCAGTTTTCATGCTGACAGTGTGTGTGGTGCTCAGGCCTCTGCCGAGTTGTGGGTGCCTCCAGAGAGTGGTCCCTGGGCATGGCCCACAGGGTTCTGCATGGCGGATCCTGGACCCGAGGGCTGTGTGAGCCTCGGCGTGCCCGTTGACCTGCTGTGCTCTCTGTTTCAGATGTACCGGCTCACGCTGCGCACAAGTAAGGAAGCCGTTTCTCAGAGATTATGTGAATTGCTCTCAGCGCAGTTTTAGTCCTGAGGATGGAAGACCAGGCTCGTGTGTCTTGTGTTGTCTTCGTCTGTGCCGTTTGTCTTCGTGGCTATCCTGCAGATGAGCACCGTGTCCAGTGCCACAGCACAAGGCGCCTCCCCGCCCCACCGCCCCACACCTCTCCCCTTTGGGCTGGACGGGAACACACGTGTGTGGCTCAGGAGGAAAAGCTCAGCCTGGACTGTGGCAGCCACGGCAGAAGGTGGATCTTGGGATCAATTTTTATAAAAATCGAGACAGTTCTGTGGTTAAATCTACAAATTAAAGGGAAATTAGAAGTTGGCGTGAACGTGGCGTTTGTGGGAGTGTCACTGAGATGGCCCGTGCTGCCGCCCACCCCGCCTCGGAGCCTCTGGGAGCAGCAGTGCCACTGTGCATGGCGTGGGCTGAGCCTTGGTGTGTGGCCGTCCTGGTGGCTGCACACCTGGCGTCGTCCTGGGCCCTTGGGAGGAGCACAGCTGACCCTGGTTTTGCTGCAGTCCCAGCTGGACTGTTTTCCCAGGCAGGATTTTAATCTAGAATTTAGAAACATTTGTATTTGTAATGACTTCTGGCAAAAGCACGTGTCCTGGCCGGATGTAACTGTTCTCCTTTCCCAGCTCCTGTTTGTGAAGGGCGTCTGTTATGCTCCTGCAGTCGCCGAGGCCTTGGATGTGCAGCCAGGGGAGGAGCGTCCTGCCGGCCCCGCAGGGCCCCCAGGACTCCAGGGTAAAGTGTGGGCCGGTGGCGCAAGACTCAGAGGTGTGCTCGTCTCTTTCCTGTCAGAGTGGGCGTCCCCAGGCCACGGTGCAGGCCTGAGTCCTTCCACCGGCCCCGTCCAGTCGTCCCTGGAGGGGCTGTGGAGGAAGGACGCCTCTGTGTGGTCAGGAAGTGAAGGGGCCATTGGCCGCATGCCATGTGCCACCTGCGGCTTGTGTCTCACCTGTCATCTGGACTCAGCACCCAGGCTGCACGTCTGACACCTGAGAGGCGAGAGAGTGGGGCCGGCCTAGGAGCCAAGGCTGGGGCCTTGCGCTCTGTCCCCAGGATGGTGGCCTTGTTTGTCCTAAACACACCCAGCACAGGTTCTGGCTTCCTGACATGCTGTGGAGGCAGGGAGGGTGGGTGGCCACATGTGCTTGAGGGTTTTCACCCTGGCCCTCAGTTGCCTGCTGTGCGGGTCCCTGGGGCAGCTGCAGGGGCTCACGGACCCATCAGGGTCTCCACAGCTCCCCTGCAGTGTGTGCACCCCACAATGTCTGCGGCTCTTCTTCCGGCGTGTCGGGCTTTGATCACAGCATAGCCACGTCAGTGGCGTGCGCCTCTCGCACAGGCCATTCTGGGTCTGGTGGTGCCAGGTGCCGTGACACGCCGTGCTGGGCTTGTGCTGCAGCTGGGTGGTGTGGCCCTCATTCTCATGTTCCAGCTGCTGGGCAGTGCTCTGCCTGTGTGCTGCGCCTGCAGGCTGCGTGTGCTGCCGTGGATCTCCTGCATCCCTTGACCCCTCCCGCCATCAGAGGAAAGGCTGCTCCCCGAGGCACCGCTTCCCTGTGCGGCGCTGCAGAGGGGCCCTCAGTGTGGCACTCCTCGTCAAAGAAAAATAAAGGCTAGAACTGCACCCCGGATCACGCGCTTTCTTTGGGGGGAAAGCATCCCATGTAACCCTCATAGCTCCCCGGGGGTCGCGTGAGGCACAGACCCCAAGGTCCCCGACCTGTCCTTCAGCAGTGGGCTCACGGGCAGCGGGCATCAGAAAGTGACCTGCCCTTTGCTCCGCCGGTTTGATTCTGGGTGTGTGGTGGAGCTTTTTGGGACTCAGGTCATGCGGGAACCCCTCCAGCGTGGCCGCAGGGCTCCCCACTGTACAGTGTGTTGAGGTGCAGCCCAGGGCTCCTTCCTGGGGAACGGGAGGCCCCGTGGGGATCCTCCAGTTGATCCTACCACAGATGGTGCAGAAGGGGCTCTCGGGCAGATGGGGGTGGCCCCCGGAGGACGGTGGGCTTCGCCAGAGACGGAACAGTCCTAATGGAGGGAGGGCAGGGGCCCAAAGCCAGAGGCAGCTTCTCTTACCAGCCCAGACCCTGCTGGGGGCAGCCCTGCCCAACTGCAGATCCCAGGGGCCCACAGGGTGCAGATGTGGGTCGGGTGCCTACTAAGGGACTGGGGAGAGGCAAAAGCAGTGCTCAGGGACCAGCCTCTGTGCCTTGACAAGAACCGGTTTATTTGGAGTCTCTGACCGGGTGACGCCCTCTCCCAAGGACAGGCTGCTGGGGATGGGTGTGGTGCTGGTGGGGGCCTTCTGCCTGGCTGGGAGCGGGGGCGGCTGCCCTGCCCTCGCTGCCACCCTCTGCCCTCCCTGACTCTGGGGATCTCCTCTTCTCTGTGCTGGTGGCTGCCTGGGCCTCTTGCCCCCATCTCGGCACAGGTTTCCGTGCCCTCCTCGCCCCTGATGGGTCTGGTCGAGCGCCTGCTCTGTGGCTTCATCTGCAGGGTTCTGGGCCCAGCAGGGCTGGGGCCAAGTTCAGGGGCTGGGAGGTGTTGGACAGTGGGCAGGGGTGGTCGGGAGTGCCCTGTGTGCCTGGGAGGTCCGTGACCACTGTCCGCCTCAGTCCCTCTCTGCTGGCTCAGGGTCTGCAGGAGTGTGGTAGTCTGAGCCCCTGCTTGGCAGCCCCTCTCCAACCGGTGCCCCAGGGAGCCACGGCCCAGGGCACTTGGGGGCCAGGCCTGGTGACCAGGAAAGCAGCTGCTGGCACAAGCGGGAAGGGGGCTGGTGGGTGTTTTCCTGTCTGTCATCTGCAGTCCTTCAGCCCCAGGAGAGCAGGCAGCGACCCTGCTAGTCTCCACAGGCCACAGAGCTGCACACGCAGTGGCTGAACACCTGCAGGGTGAGTACGAGCCGCCGGCCAGGCGTGCTGGGATCGGGGCAGGGCAGCTCCAGCTGCTGCTCATAGGAGTGGAGGGGGCGGCAGCAGCTGCAGCGGGCATCCACCTGCTGGGTGATGATGTTGAAGCTGCCGAGAAGTCAAGACAGAGCAGGGTCATGACTGCTGCAGGGGCATAAGGCCCCTCCCTCCCCAGGGCAGCTGCTCCGCAGAGGCCTGGACCTCCCCGCTGAGCTCCCGGCTCACAGGGGCCAGGGCGGTGTTGGGCAGATGGAGCGCAGAGTGGCTCACCTGATGGGGCAGCAGGCGCCTGGGTGGGGTGCCCGAACCTCTCTGGGGTGGGGTTGTGAGCACCTTGGTGGACGTGGGGCAGGCCTCCCACCTGTGGACTCACCTGGCAGCGGAAATGCAGGCGCCCTCACAGCGGGTTACCGTCACGTTCGCCATGCACCCCTTGAACGTGATCTCCTCCTGCTGCTCCCGCACACTGCAGACCCCTGGTAGCCGAGTGGACGGTCAGCAGCGCCCAGGGTGGGCATGGAGCGAGGAGGGAGGGAAACCCTGGCTAGAGACCGGGGTCCCCACCTGTCTCTGGACTCTCCTGCCCAAGGTGTGGTCTCCCCTTGTGGAGCCCCACAGAGCTCAGACCTCAGCCATACACAAAGGCAAAGGCCAGCCGCATCCTAGTTTGTTTTTTCCCCTCAAAGTCGCTCTGCTGGAGTCCATAAGGTAGAGAATTTTCTCAGCGGACTCAGCAGATACTGAGCCCTGGGCCTGTGTGAGCCACCCTTGGGCCCCAGCTTCCCTGATGACCAACCCCAGGCCTCAACACTGACCTGTGGGCATGGGCCTCTCTGGTTGGCCAGACCCAGGACCTGCAGGGGGGCCGAGGACACCGTGCCAGTGACCCCAGAGCGGGACATATGGTGTTGCAGGAGCTCCGTGTGCCCCAGCTGGGGAGGAGGGAAGTGGAGCAGGCCCCGTGGTCTGGGCTCCTGGAAGGGGCGGGGTGGGGGCCCGCGGGGAAGGCCCAGAGACAGCCAGCCTCAGCGAGAGGCCTGGGTACGTGGCAGGCAGCACAGAGCAGGGTGGACCGATGCAGGCAGTGGCAGCGTTGGCATTAGAAACCGCCACTGGAGAGCGTGGGTTTAAAAGTGGAAAAGGAGTCCTGGGGTAAAGGCTGGACTCTGCTGCCCGTGTGCCCTCCCCTGGCTGCTCCCAGCTTCGTTTCCTGGCTGCAGAGAAGACAGGTCACCTGGAGCCTACCTGCCCGCTGCAGAGGGCTTTCTCCGGGAGGGTCAGGACTCTGGGTGCTTCCATAGGCCCTGCCGTCCCCAGCTGCCCTCCCCTCCCAGCTGGTTCCTGCTCCCTCGCCTCTGCTTCTTGGGGTCACCTCCCTGGTTACACCTTGCACCCAAGTCCCGGTCTCAGGGAGGGACCCGAACCAAGATTCCCTCAGCTTGCAGCAACGAGCTGCCACCCACGTGAGAGACCACGAAGGCAACTGTGGCGTTGTTGCCTGGTGGAGGTCGATGCATGCGAGGGACCCAGTCCCTGGGTGGTTGCTGTGAGAGGAACACCCAGGAGGGAAGGGAGGGACATCCCTGGAACGCGAGGTGAGGTGAGGTGGACATGGATAAGGCCTGAGGTGTGCTCTGTCCCCAGGCATCCCATGGCCTGGGGAGCAGTGGACTCGCTCACAGGCATGGGCCGGGAAGAGCCGTGGCCCAGAGAATTGGCATGAGCACGAAGGAGCAGGTGCCCTGGTTGCCAGGTCCAGCTCCACCTTCAACAGGTCCTTTGGGGCGAGGCAGGGGATGTGCCAGACTTTTGTGTCTCTCTCTGCACTTGGAGGAAGGGCTGTGCTGCTTGAACCCTGGGGTTGGGCCAGCCCTGACATCCTCTGAGCAACCAAAGGGGCAGCCAGGGAAGGCTTTTGGCAGGTAACACTCTGAGGGGAGGCCAGGAGTGCAGCAGTGACCGGGCATGAGTGAGCCAGTGCAGGGAAAGGTCAAGGTTAGCTGGGGAACAAGGCCCAACGGGGAGGCCAGGCACTTGCTTGGCCAGGACAGCGTTGGCATAGAGGGTGCCCAGGAGAGGAGAGTGGAAACGCCTGGCAGGTGTGTAGGGAAGGCAGGGAACAGGCGTGTGGTCCTGGGATCACAGGACCATGAGGGGTAAGCTGAGGCAGGGGCTGCCTGGGAGTCATGAGCACAGAGGTGAGGCCAGGAGAAGGGCCACAGAGATGCCACTTACCGGGTGAGGTGGGCGTAGGTGTCCCGAGAGAAGATACCGGGGCAGAAGCAGGGGTGCTTCCATGGGCAGTGAGGGAGCTGGTCAGGAACCGTGTGGTAGGCGACAAGGTGGGACCAGGGTGCCTGGTGGTAAGGTTGGTGACTGGAGAGGTGGGGATACCCGTCACCCCCGAGGTGAGTGACACAAAGCCTGATGTGGGAACTCGGGTGGTGAGAGAAGTGGACCGCGAGGTGGTGGACTGAGAGGAGAAGGCAGGGGCGGTGTGGGTGCTGGCCGTGGTCCTGGGCGTGGACGGAAATGCAATGGTGCTGGAGGCTAGGTGGCTGGATGGGGTGGGAGACACGGTAACAGTGGATATGGGGAGTAGAGCAGAGAGGGTGAAAGGAGAGGAGATAGTGTGGGGGAGAGTGGCCCTAATGGTAGTAGAGGCAGCTGGAGAAGAAGGAAAAAGAGGAGATGCAGACACTGATGCAGTCGTGGGATGAGTGGACAATGAGGAGTGTGACCCCGAGCTCAGGGTTGTGGAGTGCACGGGGGCGGACACGAAAGAGGAAGATGTGCCAACAGAAGGCGATGAAGTCTGGGGAGAGGAGTGGGAGGAGGGCACATAAGAAGAAACAGTAGAGGGGGCAGAAGGACTGGGAGAAAATGAGGAGGACAGCTGATTAGTTGTGGAAACAGGAGTGGTTGCAGAACTCAAGTGGGGGAGTTGTGTGGTGATAGGTGATGACGGTGGCCTTGAGCTAGAGTTCTGAGGCAGCCAAGACGAGGAGGATATGAAGGAAGAAGAGGCTGTAGCTGTGCTGAATGAGCTGTGGGTTTGGCTGGTCCCACTGGTGGTCACTGTCATTGGTGGGGCTGTGTGGGTGGACCCTGTGGCCTTGAGCGTTGTTGGTGGAGGAACGGTGCCTGTTGGCGTTGAGTGGATGGAGGCAGAAGTGGCCATCTGTGTGTGGGTAGTGATGATGACTGTGTGAGTACTTGGAGTCACCAAGGAGGTGGAGAAAGGTGGAACGTGAGTGGGAAGTGTGGTCTGAGGGTGTGATGGGGTTGGATAGGTAGTGGTGGTCTGGAAGGATGTTGCAGTCATAGGACCTGTGGAAGAGAAGGGACTGCTCCCTGTAGGTGGGGAGTGTGTGGTGAAGGGTGTGGGTAGCCTGCTGCTGCTGGCCGAGGTGGTGTGGGCCACAGGGGTTCTGGTGCCTGTACTGGTGTGTTTGGGGGTGATGTTGGTGGTAGAAGTTGGGGTGACTTCAGGATGGTGTGTTGAGGAAGTGTGGTAAGGTAGGGATGTAGAAGTTTTGGCCGTGCTAAATGAGCTTGGGGATTGGCTGGTCCCACTGGTGGTCGGTGTCATTGGTGGGGCTGTGTGGGTGGACCCTGTGGCCTTGATCGTGGTCGGTGGAGGAATGGTGCCTGTTGGCATTGAGTGGATGGAGGCAGAAGTGGCCATCTGTGTGTGGGTAGGGATGATGACCGTGTGAGTACTTGGAGTCACCAAGGAGGTGGAGAAAGATGGAACGTGAGTGGGAAGTGTGGTGTGAGGGTGTGATGGGGTTGGATAGGTAGTGGTGGTCTGGAAGGATGTTGCAGTGACAGGACCTGTGGAAGAGATGGGAGTGGTCCCTGTAGGTGGGGAGTGTGTGGTGAAGGGTGTGGGTAGCCTGCTGCTGGTGGCCGACGTGGTGTGGGCCACAGGGGTTCTGGTGCCTGTACTGGTGTGGTTGGGGGTGATGCTGGTGGTAGAAGTTGAGGTGACTTCAGGATGGTGTGTGGAGGAAGTGTGTGAATGTAGGGATGTAGAGGTTTTGGCCGTGCTAAATGAGCTTCGGGATTGGCTGGTCCCACTGGTGGTCACTGTCATTGGTGGGGTTCCTGTACTGGTGGGGTTGGGGGTGATGTTGGTGGTAGAAGTTGAGGTGGCTTCAGCATGGTGTGTGGAGGAAGTGTGTGAATGTAGGGATGTAGAGGTTTTGGCTGTGTTTAATGAGCTCAGGGCTTGGCTGGTCCCGCTGGTGGTCAGCGTCATTGTTGGCGCTGTGTGGGTGGACCCTGTGGCCTTGAGCGTTGTCGGTGGAGGAATCGTGCCTGTTGGCATTGAGTGGATGGAGGCAGAAGTGGCCATCTGTGCATGGGTAGGGGTGATGACTGTGTGAGTACTTGGAGTCACCAAAGAGGTGGAGAAAGGTGGAACGTGAGTGGGAAGTGTGGTCTGAGGGTGTGATGGGGTTGGATAGGTAGTGGTGGTCTGGAAGGATGTTGCAGTCATAGGACCTGTGGAAGAGATGGGACTGCTCCCTGTAGGTGGGGAATGTGTGGTGAAGGGTATGGGTAGCCTGCTGCTGGTGGCCGAGGTGGTGTGGGCCACAGGGGTTCTGGTGCCTGTACTGGTGTGGTTGGGGGTGATGGTGGTGGTAGAAGTTGGGGTGACTTCAGGATAGTGTGTGGAGGAAGTGTGTGAATGTAAGGATGTAGAGGTTTTGCCTGTGCTAAATGAGCTTGCGGATGGGCTGGTCCCACTGGTGGTCACTGTGATTGGTGGGGCTGTGTGGGTGGACCCTGTGACCTTGAGCGTTGTTAGTGGAGGAATGGTGCCTGTTGGCGTTGAGTGGATGGAGGCAGAAGTGGACATCTGTGCATGGGTAGGGGTGATGACCTTGTGAGTACTTGGAGTCACCAAGGAGGTGGAGAAAGGTGGAATGTGAGTGGGAAGTGTGGTCTGAGGGTGTGATGGGGTTGGATAGGTAGTGGTGGTCTGAAAGGATGGTGCAGTCATAGGACCTGTGGAAGAGATGGGACTGCTCCCTGTAGGTGGGGAATGTGTGGTGAAGGGTGTGGGTAGTCTGCTGCTGGTGGCCGAGGTGGTGTGGGCCACAGGGGTTCTGGTGCCTGTACTGGTGTGTTTGGGGGTGATGTTGGTGGTAGAAGTTGGGGTGACTTCAGGATGGTGTGTGGAGGAAGTGTGGTAAGGTAGGGATGTAGAAGTTTTGGCCGTGCTAAATGAGCTTAGGGATTGGCTGGTCCCACTGGTGGTCGGTGTCATTGGTGGGGCTGTGTGGGTGGACCCTGTGGCCTTGATCGTGGTCGGTGGAGGAATGGTGCCTGTTTGCATTGAGTGGATGGAGGCAGAAGTGGCCATCTGTGCGTGGGTAGGGGTGATGACTATGTGAGTACTTGGAGTCACCAAGGAGGTGGAGAAAGATGGAACGTGAGTGGGAAGTGTGGTCTGAGGGTGTGATGGTGTTGGATAGGTAGTGGTGGCATGGAAGGATGTTGCAGTGACAGGACCTGTGGAAGAGATGGGAGTGGTCCCTGTAGGTGGGGAGTGTGTGGTGAAGGGTGTGGTTAGCCTGCTGCTGGTGGCTGAGGTGGTGTGGGCCACGGGTGTCCAGGTTCCTATACTGGTGGGGTTGAGGGTGATGTTGGTGATAGAAGTTGGGGTGACTTCAGGATGGTGTGTGGAGGAAGTGTGTGAATGTAGGGATGTAGAGGTTTTGGCTGTGTTGAATGAGCTTGAGGCTTGGCTGGTCCCACTGGTGGTTGGCATCATTGGTGGGGCTGTGTGGGTGGACCCTGTGGCCTTCAGCGTTGTCGGTGGAGGAATGGTGCCTGTTGGCATTGAGTGGATGGAGGCAGAAGTGGTCATCTGTGCGTGGGTAGGGGTGATGACTGTGTGAGTACTTGGAGTCACCAAGGAGGTGGAGAAAGATGGAACGTGAGTGGGAAGTGTGGTCTGAGGGTGTGATGGTGTTGGATAGGTAGTGGTGGCATGGAAGGATGTTGCAGTGACAGGACCTGTGGAAGAGATGGGACTGCTCCCTGTAGGTGGGGAGTGTGTGGTGAAGGGTGTGGTTAGCCTGCTGCTGGTGGCTGAGGTGGTGTGGGCCACAGGGGTGACGGTTTCTGTACTGGTGGGATTGGGGGTGATGGTGGTAGAAGTTGGGGTGATGACTGTGTGTGTACTTGGAGTCACCAAGGAGGTGGAGAAAGGTGGAATGTGAGTGGGAAGTGTGGTACTGAGACTGTGATGTGGGTTGGATAGGGTAGTGGTGGTCTGGAAGGATGTTGCAGTGACAGGGAGCTGTGGAAGAGATGGGACTGCTCCCTGTCGGTGGGGAGTGTGTGGTGAAGGGTGTGGGTAGCCTGCTGCTGGTGGCCGAAGTGGTGTGGGCCACAGGGGTCCTGGTGCCTGTACTGGTGTGGTTGGGGGTGATGGTGGTGGTAGAAGTTGGGGTGACTGCAGGATGGTGTGTGGAGGAAGTGTGTGAATGTAGGGATGTAGAAGTTTTGGCTGTGCTGAATGAGCTTGGGGCTTGCCTGGTCCCACTGGTGGTCGGCGTCATTGGTGGGGCTGTGTGGGTGGACCCTGTGGCCTTGAGCGTTGTCGGTGGAGGAATGGTGCCTGTTGGCGTTGAGTGGATGGAGGCAGAAGTGGACATCTGTGCATGGGTATGGGTGATGACTGTGTGAGTATTTGGAGTCACCAAGGAGGTGGAGGAAGGTGGAACGTGAGTGGGAAGTGTGGTGTGAGAGTGTGATGGGGTTGGATAGGTAGTGGTGGTCTGGAAGGATGTTGCAGTGACAGGACCTGTGGAAGAGATGGGACTGCTTCCTGTAGGTGGGGAGTGTGTGGTGAAGGGTGTGGGTAGCTTGCTGCTGGTGGCCGAGGTGGTGTGGGCCACAGGGGTTCTTGTGCCTGTACTGGTGTGTTTGGGGGTGATGTTGGTGGTAGAAGTTGGGGTGACTTCAGGATGGTGTGTGGAGGAAGTGTGGTAAGGTAGGGATGTAGAAGTTTTGGCCATGCTAAATGAGCTTGGGGATTGGCTGGTCCCACTGGTGGTCGGCGTCATTGGTGGGGCTGTGTGGATGGACCCTGTGGCCTTGAGCGTTGTTACCCTGTAGGTGGGGAGTGTGTGGTGAAGGGCGGGGTTAGCCTGCTGCTGGTGGCTGAGGTGGTGTGGGCCACACGCGCCCCAGTTCCTGTACTGGTGGGGTTGGGGGTGATGTTGGTGGTAGAAGTTGAGGTGGCTTCAGCATGGTGTGTGGAGGAAGTGTGTGAATGTAGGGATGTAGAGGTTTTGGCTGTGTTTAATGAGCTCAGGGCTTGGCTGGTCCCGCTGGTGGTCAGCGTCATTGTTGGCGCTGTGTGGGTGGACCCTGTGGCCTTGAGCGTTGTCGGTGGAGGAATCGTGCCTGTTGGCATTGAGTGGATGGAGGCAGAAGTGGCCATCTGTGCATGGGTAGGGGTGATGACTGTGTGAGTACTTGGAGTCACCAAAGAGGTGGAGAAAGGTGGAACGTGAGTGGGAAGTGTGGTCTGAGGGTGTGATGGGGTTGGATAGGTAGTGGTGGTCTGGAAGGATGTTGCAGTCATAGGACCTGTGGAAGAGAAGGGACTGCTCCCTGTAGGTGAGGAGTGTGTGGTGAAGGGTGTGGTTAGCCTGCTGCTGGTGGCTGAGGTGGTGTGGGCCACAGGGGTGCCGGTTCCTGGACTGGTGGGATTGGGGGTGATGGCGGTAGAAGTTGGGGTGACTTCAGGAAGGTGTGTGGAGGAAGTTTGTGAATGTAGGGATGTAGAGGTTTTGGCTGTGTTGAATGAGCTCAGGGCTTGGCTCGTCCCGCTGGTGGTCGGCGTCATTGTTGGCGCTGTGTGGGTGGACCCTGTGGCCTTGAGCGTTGTTGGTGGAGGAACGGTGCCTGTTGGCGTTGAGTGGATGGAGGCAGAAGTGGCCATCTGTGTGTGGGTAGTGATGATGACTGTGTGAGTACTTGGAGTCACCAAGGAGGTGGAGAAAGGTGGAATGTGAGTGGGAAGTGTGGTCTGAGGGTGTGATGGGGTTGGATAGGTAGTGGTGGTCTGAAAGGATGTTGCAGTCATAGGACCTGTGGAAGAGATGGGACTGCTCCCTGTAGGTGGGGAATGTGTGGTGAAGGGTATGGGTAGCCTGCTGCTGGTGGCCGAGGTGGTGTGGGCCACAGGGGTTCTGGTGCCTGTACTGGTGTGGTTGGGGGTGATGGTGGTGGTAGAAGTTGGGGTGACTTCAGGATGATGTGTTGAGGAAATGTGTGAATGTAGGGATGTAGAAGTTTTGGCCGTGCTAAATGAGCTTGGGGATTGGCTGGTCCCACTGGTGGTTGCCGTCATTGGTGGGGCTGTGTGGGTGGACCCTGTGGCCTTGATCGTGGTCGGTGGAGGAATAGTGCCTGTTGGCATTGAGTGGATGGAGGCAGAAGTGGCCATCTGTGCGTGGGTAGGGGTGATGACTATGTGAGTACTTGGAGTCACCAAGGAGGTGGAGAAAGATGGAACGTGAGTGGGAAGTGTGGTGTGAGGGTGTGATGGGGTTGGATCGGTAGTGGTGGTCTGGAAGGATGTTGCAGTGACAGGACCTGTGGAAGAGATGGGAGTGGTCCCTGTAGGTGGGGAGTGTGTGGTGAAGGGTGTGGGTAGCCTGCTGCTGGTGGCCGACGTGGTGTGGGCCACAGGGGTTCTGGTGCCTGTACTGGTGTGGTTGGGGGTGATGCTGGTGGTAGAAGTTGAGGTGACTTCAGGATGGTGTGTGGAGGAAGTGTGTGAATGTAGGGATGTAGAGGTTTTGGCCGTGCTAAATGAGCTTCGGGATTGGCTGGTCCCACTGGTGGTCACTGTCATTGGTGGGGTTCCTGTACTGGTGGGGTTGGGGGTGATGGTGATGTTAGTAGTAGAAGTGACGTCAGGTTCGGAGATGGGATGAAGCATGTGAGTGTAAAGGTATGGATGTAGAGGCTGTGCCGATATATAATGACCTCAGGGCTTGGCTGGTGGTGGTCACTGTCATTGTCCTTGTTGTGTGCGTGTGGGTGGTGCCTGTGGCCTTTAGCGTTGTAGGTGGAGGAATGGTGCCTGTTGGCGTTGAGTGGATGGAGGCAGAAGTGGACATTTGTGCGCGGGTAGGGGTGATGACTGTGTGAGTACTTGGAGTCACCAAGGAGGTGGAGAAAGGTGGAATGTGAGTGGGAAGAGTGGTCTGAGGGTGTGATGGGGTTGGATAGGTAGTGGTGGTCTGGGAGGATGTTGCAGTCATAGGACCTGTGGAAGAGACAGGACTGCTCCCTGTAGATGGGAAGTGTGTGGTGAAGGTTGTAGGTAGCCTGCTGCTGGTGGCCAAGGTAGTGTGGGCCACAGGGGTGCTGGTTCCTGCACTAGTGGGCTTGGGAGTAATGTTGGTGGTAGAAGTTGGTGTGGTTTCAGGATGGTGTGTGGAGGAAGCATGTGAGTGGAGAGATGTAGAAGTTTTGGCTGTGCTGAATGAGTTGTGAGCTTTGCTTGTCTGAATAATGGTCCCCGTCATTGGTGGGCCTGTGTGTGTCGACCCTGTGGGCATGCGCGTTGTCAGTGGAGGAACGGTGCCTGTTGGCGTTGAGTGGATCGAAGCAGAAGTGGACATTTGTGCGTGGGTAGGGGTGATGACTGTGTGAGTACTTGGAGTGACTGATGAGGTGGAGAAAGGTGGAACATGAGTGGTAAGTGTGGTCTGAGGGTGTGATGGGGTTGGATAGGTCGTGGTGGTCTTGATGGATGTTGCAGTCATAGGACCTGTGGAAGAGATGGGACTGCTCCCTGTAGGTGGGGAGTGTGTGGTGAAGGGTGTGGGTGGCCTGCTGCTGGTGGCCAAGGTGGTGTGGGCCACAGGGGTGCTGGTTCCTGCACTAGTGGACTTGGGAGTAATGTTGGTGGTAGAAGTTGGTGTGGTTTCCGGATGGTGTGTGGAGGAAGCATGTGAGAGGATGGATGTAGAGGTTTTGGCTATGCTGAATGAGCTGTGGGCTTGGGTGGTCCGAATGGTGGTCCCCGTCATTGGTGAGGCTGTGTGTGTGGACCCTGTGGCCGTGAGCGTTGTCAGTGGAGGAATGGTACCTGTTGGCGTTGAGTGGATCGAGGCAGAAGTGGACATCTGTGCATGGGTAGGGGTGATGACTGTGTGAGTACTTGGAGTCACTGACGAGCTGGAGAAAGGTGGAACGTGAGTGGGAAGTGTGGTCTGAGGGTGTGATGTGGTTGGATAGGTAGTGGTGGTCTTGAAGGATGTTGGAGTCATAGGACCTGTGGGAGAGAGGGGACTGCTCTCTGTAGGTGGGGAGTGTGTGGTGAAGGGTGGTGGTGGCCTGCTGCTGGTGGCTGAGGTGGTGTGGGCCACAGGGGTTCCGGTGCCTGTACTAGTGGGGTTGGGAGTAATGGTGGTGGTAGAATTTGTGGTGATTTCTGGATGGTGTGTGGAGGAAGCATGGGAGAGGAGGGATGTAGAGGTTTTGGCTGTGCTGAAGGAGCTGTGGACTTGGCTGGTCCTACTGGTGGTCACTGTTATTAGTGGGGCTGTGTGTGTGGACCCTGTGGCCATGAGCGTTGTCAGTGGAGGAATGGTGCCTGTTGACGTTGAGTGGTTGGAGGCAGAAGTGGACATCTGTGGGTGGGTTGGGGTGATGACTGTGTGAGTACTTGGAGTCACCGATGAGGTGGAGAAAGGTGGAACATGAATGGGAAGTGTGATGTGAGCTTGTGATGGGGTTGGATAGGTAGTGGTGGTCTTGAGAGATGTTGCAGTCATACGACCTGTGGAAGAGAGGGGACTGCTCCTGGTAGGTGAAGAGTGTGTTGTGATGGGTGTGGGTGGCCTGCTACTGGTGGCCGAGGTGGTGTGGGTCACAGGGGTGCTGGTGCCTCTACTGGTAGACTTGGGAGTCACGTTGGTGGTAGAAGTTGGGGTGACTTCAGGATGGTGTGTGGAGGAAGCATGTGAGTGGAGGGATGTAGAGGTTTTGGCTGTGCTGATTGAGCTGTGGGCTTGGCTGATCCTACTGGTGGTTGCCGTCATTAGTGGGGCTGTGTAGGTGGACCTTGTGGCCTTAACTGTTGTTGGTGGAGCAATCGTGCCTGTTGGCGTTGAGTGGATATAGGCAGAAGTGGACATCTGTGGGTGGGTAGGGGTGATGACTGTGTGAGTAATTGGAGTCACCAAAGAGGTTGAGAAAGGTGGAACGTGAGTGAGAAGAGTGGTCTGAGGGAGTGATGGGGTTGGATAGGTAGTGGTGGTCTTGAAGGATGTTGCCGTCATGGGACCTGTGGAAGAGAAGGGACTGCTCCCTGTAGGTGGGGAGTGTGTGGTGAAGGGTGGTGGTGGCCTGCTGCTGGTGGCTGAGTTGGTGTGGGCCACAGGGGTTCTGGTGCGTGTACTAGTGGGGTTGGGAGTAATCGTGGTAGTAGAAGTTGGGGTGACTTCAGGATGGTGTGTGGAGGAAGTGTGTGAATGTAGCGAGGTAGGTGTTTTGTTTGTGCTGAATGAGCTGTGGGCTTGGCTGGTCCCACTGGTGGTCGGCGTTATTGGTGGGGCTGTGTGGGTGGACCCTGTGGCCTTGAGCGTTGTTGGTGGAGGAATGGTACCTGTTGGCGCTGAGTGGATGGAGGCAGATGTGGCCATCTGTGCGTGGGTAGGGGTGATGACTGTGTGAGTACTTGGAGTCACCAAGGAGGTGGAGAAAGGTGGAACGTGAGTGGGAAGTGTGGTCTCAGGGTGTGATGGGGTTGGATAGGTAGTGGTGGCATGGAAAGATGTTGCAGTGACAGGACCTGTGGAAGGGACGGGACTCCCCGCCGTAGGCGGGGAGTGTGTGGTGTGTGGGGTTTGGGGCGTTGTGTATTCAGTAGTCGTTCTTGTTTGAGTGGTCTCTGTGGCTGTGGGCCTCGTGGGTTGTCCTGGCTGTGGGGTGGTTGGGCCTGTGGTGCTTGCTGGGGTTGGACGTGGGCCTGTCGTCTGGGTGGCCGTTGTTCCTGGCAGTTCCTGATTGGTCGATTTTGCTGTGGGAATTGGTGAAGTTGTCATCGTTATTGTTTTTGTTTCTCTACCCTGACCTCCGCTGGCCCGTCCTTTTGTCTATGTGACCTTTTTCTTGCCTGTCTGTGCCTCTGTTCCTGTGACATGGCCCCTGCTGGGCACTCCAGCCTGCCCCATTGTCTCCATCTCACCTGGACTTGCTCCACATCCTGCCCTGAGCTGCGTGCTGACTCCTTCAGTGCAGCTGCCGCTCTGTGACTGGAACCCAGGCCCTACTTTATCCCCTTCTGGTTCCCTGTGGCCGTGGTGGTGGCCCCCACCCTCCTGCACCTCTGCTCCCCAGGCCTGCCTTTGTGAGTGCCAGGCGGCCTTCCTTGCCTCCAGCTCCAGCCTACACTTTTGGGCTGCCTTCTCGCTTGCCCTCTGGGAAATACGGGGTCTTCTTTATGGCTGAATCACTGAATGTGAGCTGGTGGTGGGACCGGGTGCCTTCGGCAGTGCTGGCATCCCATGGCGCCATGACTTACGCAGCGTGGGGCTTGTCCCTGATGTGGCTGGGGTTGGTAGTGTCATTGTGGTCCGTGTTGTGGACTGAGCTGTGGACGTCGTGGCTGGGCTGGCGGTCGATGCCGTGGCCCTGGTTGTGGCCTGGGTCACTGTGGGTTTTGTGGCTGTCGATCTCAGTGTGGCTGTGGGAGGCAGCCCTGATGTGGCTTGTGGGGTGACGGCCGTGGTTGGTCTAGGTGGTTCTGCAGAGGACAGCCGCCCGGAACATCCCCTTGCTGTGGGCCTGCATTTCGAAGGCTTGTGTCCCAGCCCCCTGCCCTGCTTCTGGGATCCCTGGCCTGCTGTCCGGGACTCAGCCTCCTTGGAGGGGCTCTTCCTCTTGCCTTTGTTAGGTCCTCCCACCGTACTCCTGGCTGTGGTGGCCAGAGCTGGGGCAGTGACCACATGCTTATGGGGCTGCGGCTGCTCCTGCGCCCACCCTTGCTTAGCTGAACGGACTGTCGTCCTGTCCCCTCCAGGGTCCCTGGGCAGCAGATGGGGCCCTGCTCGGTGTGGGGCAGGGGCAGGCTGCCTGGCAGAGGCCCTGCAGGTCCCACACGGTTTCTAGTGACAGCAGCCAGCAGCAAGGAATGCCCCATGCCATGACCAGCTTGTCTTTAAAAGTTTTTCCGAAAAATCCCCAGTTTGGCTCCCAAGCATAGGAAGTTCTACGCTGGGAATCTGCTTAGTGGCAGATGTGAGCCAGGAAGCAGGGCCATCCCTAAGCCCACCCCAGAGGTGTACCTAGGACCTCCTGCAGCTGCCCTCTCCATGGGCTCAGCTGGAGGCTCCTTACCTCCCGAGGAGGCTGTGGGCTTGGAGGATGTGAGCGTGGCTGGAAGGAGGGGTGTCTGGGTGGGGCTGGCAGGGGTGTGATTAGAGCTGGGTGAGGGTCCGGTGGAGCTGAGAAGCCCGATGGTGGTGGAGGTTCCCGTCATGGGCCAGACTTGCGTGGGCCGTGAGCCTGGGTGGGCGGACATGCCATCAGGGCTGCAGGGTACCGGCATATCCTTGGGGAGCACCCTCCCCTCTGCCTGCTTGGCCCTGAAGCCGGGCAGCCCTGCAGGGGCCAATGATGTGCAGTTGAGGGCTGGCCTGTGGCACTCTGAGTGCAGCCTGGCTCCTGGCTGGGCCTCCTGCATGGCGGGGGTCACCTGTTGAGGCCCCACTCTGTGCTCATCCGTGGGTCCAGCCAGGGCCATGGGGACCAGGCTGCTTCCTGGCTGTGGGCTGAGCTCCTCCCCAACTCTGATTGCCAGGTTAGACCTGAGAAGGGCACAGGTACTGCCTGCCCCCTCCCTGCTTCCCACCCGACAGATTTGTCCAGGGAACCGAGGGGAGCCCAGGAAAGGGCCTGCGTCACCTTGGCACCTAGTGTGCGTGCAATTACCTGTGGTGGGCAGCTGCGGCGTGGTGGGTGGCTGCGGCGTGGTGGGCGGCACTGCAAGAAGATGGGGTCAGCTCCCTGTGGTTCTCTAAGCCTCCCCACCCCGTGGGGCCTCTGGGAGCTCCGAGGGCCTGAGTCAGAGATGCTCACCAAGGCTGTGGTGGAGGGGACTGGAGGGGCTGGGAGCCCACCCTCCCCTCTCTCCCTTTCTCCTTCCCAGGATGATTCCCACTCTATACCCCAGGCACCCTGGCAGGCCTGGTGAGGGTAGGGGGAGCTGGGAGCTGGTGGAAGAGGGGATGGGAGGGCCCAGTGGGGTTCAGTGCTGTGTTTTTTTCTCTCTGCTGCCATGGGCTGGAGGCTGCCTGAGTCTCTGGAGACCCAAGGGGCCAGGGTCCTGGAGAGTGGAGTCCCAGAGCTCACGTAAGGGCTCACAGCCCCCGAGGGCTCTCTCCCTTGTTTGTGGGATGTGGACGTGCGTTCTGCCTGCATGCAGGCAGGGGCAGGGTTCTCAGGGCAGCCGACTGGACTTACTGCAGGGCACGCACACCCCCTCCTCGTGGTCGAAGTACTCATCCTGGGAGCAGTTGTAGCAGCCTAGGGTGGAGAACGGCCAGGGTCTGTGTGACTGGTGGCCAGCCAGGCCCACCTGCGTGTTTCCTGCCCTGGCGGCCTCCTTCCTCTCTGCTTTTTTTTTTTTTTTTTTTTGAGACAGAGTCTCGCTCTGTCGCCCAGGCTGGAGTGCAGTGGCACAATCTTCGCTCACTGCAACCTCTGCCTCCTGGATTCACATGATTCTCCTGCCCCAGCCTCCCAGGTAGCTGCGATTGCAGGCATGTGCCATGACGCCCGGCTAATTTTTGTATTTTTAGTAGTGATGGGGCTTCGCCACGTTGGCCAGGCTGGTCTCAAACTCTTGACCTGAGGTGATCTTCCTGCCTCGGCCTCCCAGAGTGCTGGGATTACAGTTTCACCCGCGCACCTTGCTCTAAGCCCCTCCTTTCCTGCCATGCCTTCCTCAGGCCTTGGTCTCTCATACCCTGCTTATCACCCGGGGCTGGGGCTTCGGTGCCATCTTCCAGTCCTCACCTCCCCCTGGACCTCAGACACTGGCCCCTCTTCTGTGCTCCCCGATGCAGGTGCCCTGCATTGCCCTCCTGAGCCCCAACACATCTGTCCTCTGTGTGTCCGGATGGCTCCAGACACCACCCTCCTCCACCACTTGGGCCAGGACCTGTTAATCCCAGGACCCTCTGCATTCAGACCTCTGCCTTGGGGCAGCCACAGGCCTCACAAAGACCCCTCCCTCCCGGCCACACCCCACCCCACAAGTCTGTGTACCCCACACCCCTCTGCAGCCCGGTGCCCCTCACTCGCTCCCTCTGCCCTCTGCAGCCCCGCGCCTCTCACTCGCTCCCTCTGCCCTCTGCAGCCCCGCACCCCTCACTCGCTCTGCCCTCTGCAGCCCACGCCCCTCACTCGCTCCCTCTGCCCTCTACAGCCCCGTGCCCCTCACTCACTCCCTCTGCCCTCTGCAGCCCTGTGCCCCTCACTCGCTTGCTCTGCCCTCTGCAGCCCCGCGCCCCACTCGCTCCTTCTGCCCTCTACAGCCCCGCGCCCCTCACTCACTCCATCTGCCCTCTACAGCCCCGCACCCCTCCACCGCTCCCTCTGCCCTCTGCAGCCCGCGCCCCTCACTCGCTGGCTCTGCCCGCTGCCCTGGCTTTCTTAAGGGTTCTGGGCACAAGGCTGCTCCTGGCTGCTCCTCTGGACACTTTCCTGGCTCCCCTCCTCACCTTTCCCATCCTCGCCCTCACATCTGCCTCCCACCAAGGGCCCCAACCACCCTGTGTGGCACAGAAGCCTGTGGCTCTCCCACCCCAGCCTGCCTTTCTCCTCTCCATGGTGGGCGCCTCGGCCGACACTGGGTCTGCCTCCTTAAGCACCTCTCCCTGGCTGGGAGGGAAGCTCCAGGTTGCAGGACTGTTTGTTTTGTGTAAGGCCAGGTCCCCTGACCTGGAGCCGGCCTGGAGGACAGAGGTGCTCAGGACCCATCTGCTGAGTGACTGTGTGTGTGAAAGAATGAATGTGCAAATGAATGCATGAATGTGCGTGTGTGTATGAGCGAATGTGCATGAATGAATAAGCAAACATGAATGAATGAATGAATATGTGTGAATGAATGTGCATGGGTGAATGTGCGTGAGTGAATGTTGAATGAATGTGCGTGAATGTGCATGAGTGAATGTGCGTGAGTGAACAAATGTGCGTAAATGAATGCATGAGTGCGTGAATGTGCATGAATGTGGGTGAGTAAATGTGTGAATGAGCATGAATGAATGTGAATGTGTTGAGTGAATGTGCGTGAATGAATGTGAATGAGCGTGAATATGTTGAATGAGTGTGTGTGGGTGAATGAATGGATGAATGGAGTGAATGTGCATGAGTGTGCGTGAATGTGCGTGAGTGAATGTGCGTGAATGAATGTGCATGAATCTGCGGGAATGTGACTGCGTGAATGAGCATGAATGAATGTGTGTGTAGTGACTGCGTGAATGAATGTGTGAATGAATGTGCATGAGTGTGTGTGAGTGGATGAACAAATGTGCGTGAATGAATGAATATGCGTGAATGAATGCATGAATCTGCATGAATGAATGTGAATGTGCGTGAGTGTGTGTGAATGAATGTGTGCAAATTAATGAATGTGTGAATTAATGAGCATGAATGAATGTGTGAATGAATGAATGCGTGTGAATGAATGAATGTGCATGAATGAGTGAATGGGTCCCCCTGTGTATCTGCGTTGCCTCCCGGTCACCTGGCACCTTCGATGTTGCTGCCTGGGACGCTCTGTGGCTGGCTGGGGCAGAGGCAGGGCTGGTAGTGCCACGTGCAGTTGGCCTCCTGTGTGTACTGGTACTCGCCATGGCCGTCCTGCGTGTGCGTGTTGTAGAAGCCGCAGTAGATGGCTGGGAGGAAGGGAGCTGTCAGCTGGTGGGGTTCCTGGCCCTGGCCCTGGCCCTGACCCGGTGGTTCCCCTGGGCATGCATGGAACCTGAGTGTGGGCGGGGAAGGTCTGGGCCCTCTTGGTGAAGCCTCCCCTGGGCAGCTGGGGGCTGCGGGAGGGCCAGGGTGGCCCCGCAGGGCACAGCCCGGCGCCTGTCCAGGGAGAGGGGCCTGTGGGCAAGGGCAGCCCTGCGCCGGCCCTTAGTGGCGCTGGGTGGCAGGGGCTGGAGCAACCTGTGGGAGGGGTGGTCACTCACGGCAGAAGGCCGGGGTCCTCCAGTCCACGCACACACCCTTGTCCAGACAGGCTTGGGCGTAGGCAGCCACGGCATCGCACAGACACTCACAGTCCCCGCCACTGTCACACCCACATGCGTCGCGCACGCAGGCCTCGTAGTAGGGCAGGTGGTATACCTGCAGGGGTGTGTGCCAGTCAGTGTCTGGCTGCCGGGGGATGGCGGGGCATCAGGCTTTGCCACCTGCAGGGCCCTCAGTGTGGTCAGGCCGGAGTGTGGCGGTAAGGGCGCTGGGACTGGGTGAGCGGCACCACGTGGACCTCAGCCCTGACCGCTAGCCACGCTCCCGGAGCCGATGCTGCCACGGAGGCCTGACCCGAGCTCACGCCTTGAGACCCGCCATCGGGACCAAGATGCCGCTGCCGCTAACCACGGCCACTGCAGTCCCACCCAGGGTCTCTGCTCCCCCCACGTCACGCTCACATTCAGCGGGCCAGTGCCATGCTGTTCCCCCGCGGGGTGCCCCCATCCTCTCAGTTCTTACTGCGCCGCGATGGCCGGATCACGCCCTGGGCTGGGAAGTGCACGCCCTGCATCCTGGAGGTCTCCCTGACCACCAGCTCCTGAGCAGGGGGCCCACCAGGCGATGCTGCCCCAGGGGACTCGTGGCACTGTCTGGGGGTGCTATTGGCATCTGGTGGGTGGAGGCCGGGGGGCTGCTTAACAGCCACAGTGCACGAGTCGGCCCCACATCAGGGCCCTGCACTCAGGCAGAGGGTCTGAAACTCTCTGCACCCTGACCTGGCTGGTCTGGGATCCCACGGAGGGAGAACCGTGCCTGGCTTCCCCGCCCCTTCCCCCGCCCCCACCGGACATTTGTGGAGGGGCAGGCGCACAGCCCTCGTGCCCGGTGCCCACCTTGCTGTGGCAGGTGGCAAAGGTCTGGCTGTTGATGACGCTGCACTTGCGCTCGGCCCAGGAGCGCCGGAAGGCATTGAGACTGCAGGGGTCTGTCACGAAGCTCACGTCCCCGCACAGCGGGCTCTCCTTCCACGAGTTCACCAACTCCAGCTCGCTGGATGCCACGTACCTGCTGCGCGTCTCGAAGTCGTCCTTCATGTTCCCGTTGAAGTTGCCACACAAGCCGCAGAGGGGATCCTGCAGACGGTGGCATCAGGCCGGGCCCAGGGGCCGTGCCATCTGTCTCCACCCCTGCATCAGGGAGGGCCTGGGAGGAGGCAGAGGGCGTGCGGTACCTGGGAGGCACGGGCGATCCTGATGAGGATGGTCATGTGCCTGTTCCAGATGAGCGTCAGGTTGTACCTCCCGGGGATGCTGATGTCCACGACAAGGCTCAGCGCACCCGGCGTCACCCCGAGCTGCACGTGGGGCTCCTCCCCGGTGACCGTGTAGTTTCTGTCCGCCAGCACCACGGACAGGCCCTGTGGGGTGGGGTTGGCATAGGACTGCCTGTCTGTCTCCCCCGGCCCCTGGCACAGCCGTGCTGGACCGAGCTCTCAGAGACAGAGCTGCCCAGGTCTGTTAAGGCCATGCACAGGAGCGCCTGCTGAGAGCCAGCTTGGGGCAGAAGGGCCTGGCATGCCTGGAACAGGGCTGAGGGCTGAAGCTCGGGCTTCCTGGAGAGTCCCTCCCCTCTGCCCGGGAGACATTCTGCAGTCCCTGAAACCTTGTGGGGCACAAGCACCCGTGGTCCTGAGCGTCTGGCCAGGGAGGGGCAGCAGGCACCCCTCAAGGAGAGGCAGGCGGGGAGGGCTGCATCTCGGGGCAGGACCTGGAGGCTCCAGTGCGCGGGATCCAGCTGTGTGGCAGGGCCCCCTACCGCCCGTCCTGCCCTGCCAGAGTCTGCCCGGCTGCTCACCCCCAGGAAGATCTTGATGGCCCGTGAGCATGTGACCCCGGAGTTCCCACAGATGACGTTCTCTGTCAGGATCTTGAAGGTGGGCTGTGAGTCGTTGACACCACAGACGTCCTGCAGGGAGAGGGCGCTGAGGAGGAGCCCTGGAGGCCGTGCCTCTGGGTCCCCGGCCCCTGCGGCCTGGCACCCGATGGTTACCGTGGCCAGGATGTACTCGCAGTTGCCGTCGAATACGAAGCGCTGGCCGTCGAAGGTGATGACGTGGCCCTCCCCGTAGAGGGTGCAGGTGGATGGGCAGTGGGTGCCCTGCTGACAGGCCCACCTCCCCCTTGAGCAGGAGCTGTGGAGACAGCAGGTGTGGGTGGTGGGCCTGCGGCCCTCCTGCCATACTGGGTGTGGTCCCTGGAGAGGCCAGACTGCACCTCTGGACGCCCCCGCCTCTGGGACAGCCCCACCCCGGGCAGCCTCCGCCTGCCCCAGATGGCCCCAGGAGCCCAGGGCGTCTGAAGCGAGGCTTTGTCTCACCAGGTCCTGCAGTCAGTGTGGAGCTCAGCTCCTCCAGGGTAGGAGACCCCCGAGAACTCACATGGGCACTCCTCGGGGGGCACACACTGCCCGTCGGCATTCTCGTAGAGGCCCTCGGCGCAGACACAGCCAGGCTCACACTTGGTGGGCACCTGGAGGGAGGCAGGTCAGCAGCTCCTGGGAGGGTGGCCTCAGCCAGCTGCTGCCCAGCCCTGGGCCCCTCTGAGACTGCCCGGCGTGTCTCCCAGGTCCTCTCCCTGAATACAGCCCTGCTCTGTGGCCTTTGTGGGCAGCTGGGCTTACTGCCTTAGCAAAGCTTCCCCCACCTCGTGGAAGGTCCTGGGACCCAGTGCACACGGCTGGGCTGCTGTACCCACTCCCACACATGGGCAGCCCACCCTCCCCGAGCTGGTGCCCACTGTCCTTAGGGAGCCCTGCAGACGAGCCCCCGGGGCCTCCAGCTGCCTGGCCACAGGGCCGCTTCCACCTCGTGGCCAGCCCCAGGCACCCGCTGCAGGGCAGAATGCGGCCAGGTCTCCCGGAGTTCTGTGGAAACCCCCTCATGGTTCAGCTGGGGCCCGGGCATTGTCCCTGCTCCTCGCGCGCCCCCTTACGCAGGCAACACCGGTGGCCAGCATCTGGCATGTGGGGGCACAGGCTGCCCCAAACTTGTTCTCGGAGGACTGGCTGCAGGACTTGAAGGTCTTAGGGGCCTGGCAGGAGGCTGCAGGAAAGAGGGGTGCGCGGTCAGGACACTCAGAGGAAGCCGGGGCCCCTCACAGTCCCAGCCTGCGGCCAGCGCTGCTGTACGTACCCAGGAACATCTGTGGCCGCTGCGGGCAACTCAGCCGCCCGTTGATGCAGTGGCTGCAAGAGAGAGGCTGCGTGAGACCCCGGGACCTGGCAGGGACCCCCCGCCTGGCCCCTGCCCGGTCCCTCACCAGGTGATGCCGTTGATGACAGTGGACTGCTCGGCCAGGATGAACTTGTAACCCTCCAGTATGCACGGGCACTGGGCCTTGCGCACACACTCGCCCTTTTGGTTCAGGTAGGTGCCATCGGGGCAGTTGCAACCGTCCACGGGCACGGCGCTGTGGTGGCACTCGGTGGCACGGTCCGACAGCGACAGGCAGGTGCGCTCACAGGCTTGGCTGTTGTAGCTGAAGGTGGTGTTACCCGTGCAGGGGATGGCTGTGGGGGACCCGGGCATCAGACTCTCCGGGAGGGGGCGGCCGGGAGGGCAATCTCGGGTTCCCCTGCCTGCCGGGCACTGCAGAGCCTCAGAGCTTGGGGTCCCAGGACACCCCCTCGTGAGCCCAGCCTGCCGTGACCCCGCTTAAGCCCCGTCGGGCACTCACTGCAGTTGTCCACACTGCTTCTCCAGCCCCAGAGCAGGACGCCCCGCAAGGAGCAGGCGTGTACGTAGTCGCCCAGGGCGGCACAGATGTGGGGAAAGGTCTCCTCGTAGTTGCAGGCCTGGTACATGCACCTCTGCGGGCAGAGAGCCAGCATGGGCTGGTGGCAGGCACCCTGCCCTGGGGACATGGGGGTCCCAAACCTATGCCCTTGGGTGCCTGAGACCTTGTCAGCCACCACAGCCTCCCCTGCAGCCCTCCCAAGACGCCCTCGGGCCCTCACCTTGTAGAAGGGTGCAGGGTTCACTGTGGCGTGGCACCTCTCGAACACCGTGCCTGTCCTCAGCAGCATGGAGCAGTGGGTCTCTGCACACACCTCTGGGGATGACAGGCCCGGGCGTGAGTCCCGGCCCCTCCCATTCCAGCTACGGCTCCTCCCAGGGACCCCCCACCCTGGCAGCTGGGCCTGTGGTCCAGTCCAGGGGTCTGTCAGAACTGTGGGCGCTGGGGGGGCAGCCAGGGGAGTGGGGGGCCGGACACTCACTGTTGAGCTGGCTCATGGAGCAGGGGTCAGTCTCACGCTCCAGAGCGGCCGGACAGTTCCCCGCCCGCCAGGAGTCCACAAACAGCGAGGCGGTGCCCTCGGCGATACCCATGCTAGTGGTGAAGTCATCCGTTGTGTCCCCGTTGAAGTTGCCGCAGAGCCCTGAGCCGGCGGGGCGTGAGCTCGACTTGAACCCATCCCTCCTGCACCCATTCCTGCCCACACGCCCTGGAGCTCCCGTCCTTCCTCTAACAGCACCCTGGGTGAGAGGCTGCGTGGGCCACACGTGCCTGTTACCCCTGGGGGCTCCCCGGACACAGAGGGTTGTGTGAACCTCTCTTGGACCTTTCTCCTCCCCTGGTCATGGCCAGACCCTGTAGGGATGAGGCAACAGGGCCACCTGGAGAGGCAGGGACTCACCTCTGGTCTGACCTCTGAACTGGGGCCCAACAGTGACATAGGCCTGGAAGATGGGGCGCAGCTGGACCACGAGCTCCAGCCCGAAGCTGGTGGCCATCTGGAGGTGGGTGGACGTCTGCCTGAAGACCGTGATGTTGCCTGCAGGACGCAGTGCTCAGTGGGCCGTCTGGGCTCCCTCCCCACCCACTGCAGCCCGCCCCGAAGGCACAACTCTGGGGGGCCACAGACTGGGCCAGGACGTACGAGTCTTGTATGGCAGCCACTTGGCTTCTCCGTTGTTGGTGACCACCTCGTCCTGAGAGATCACAATTTTGTCCTGGAGAGAGGGTGGCCTGAGTCAGGGTGCAGGCACCAGGGAGCGGAGCCCTGCTGGCAGGGATGGGCGCAGGAAAGGCCTTACCTGCCTGGAGAGGTAGACCACAGCCACCAGGGAGGTCTCGGAGTGTGAGACGCCGGACTTGTCGTACACAGCCATGAGGGCACCGTCCTCGGGAAGCTGGGGGCTCTGCGAGGGGGCGGGGCTCAGACACGGGTGGGGTCACCGGGAGCGCCCCTCCCCACGGGCCACAGGGCTCGTCCTACCTGGAGGAGGATGTAGGTGCAGGTGCCGTGGAAGCGGTAGGGCCTGGCGTCAAATGTGGTAACAAAGGAGCCACCTTCCAGGGAGCAGTGTCCGGGGCACGGCCGCTCCGTGCACACCCAGCGGCCCAGGGTGCACCGGCTGTGGGTGGGCGTGGGGGTAGCGGCATGGTGGGCAGGGCCGCTGGAGCCAGACAGCACACCCCTGCCTGCCCTAGGCCAGTGGAACCCCTGCCGGCCGGCCAGAGCCCCCTCCGGCGCCTCACTCACCAGGTTTGGCAGGCAGCTATTGTGACCTCCCCGGGGGCATACATGGCGCCGTGGAGCACACAGGGGCACTGGGTGACGGGCACGCAGGTGTGGTTATTGGAGAGGTCATTCAGGACCGTACCTGCAGGAGAGGGTCTTCTTGGGGCTTGGGTGGGACTGACTGCCTCCCACTCTCCCCTCCCTGGCTCCAGGGAGACGCCCCCTCCAGCCTGGCTCCAGGGAGACGCCCCCTCCAGCCTGGCTCCAGGGAGACGCCCCTCCAGCCTGGCTCCAGGGAGACGCCCCCTCTAGCCTGGGCCATGACCTCTCTCCAGCTGCACTTGCATTCGCAACTCTATGTCAGGCCCTGGGCGTGCACAGCCCCTCGTGCCAATGTGCCCGGCCCAGGTTCCTGGTGAGTGGTGGCCTCCAGCAGGCAGGGACGTGTAACTGTCCCTTGGGCCCGGCTCAAACCCTGCCTTCCCTCGGCAGCTCCTAGACCGCAGTGAGCAGCCCTCACCGCCCGTGGGTTTGCAGGGGTGGCCGTGGCTGGGGGACCTGCAGGCTGTAAGCGTCCAGGCGGGAAAAGCCTGTCCCAGGGCAAGAGGCGCCAGAGCTGGGACTCAGGCAGCAGAATGTTGGGGTGACCTGGGTCGGGGTGGGTGGGGTCTGACGTCCCCTTGTCTCTGGGTTCTCTCTAGGGGTCCCGGGGAGAGAGAGTGCCTGCGACTGCCCTCACCTTCCGGGCAGAAGCACCCGAAGGTGCAGGAGCTGGAGCAGCTGTGCTGCGGGTTGGAGCAGGTCTTCACGCAGGCCGAGCCGCACTCCTGGTACACCTGGTTGGCCGGGCACTGACCCACGGCTGTGGGCACACGCGGCTCCGGTGAGAGGGTCCCACCCCCCCCACCCCTCCCTGCCCCACCCCAGCTTGATGGAGGACTTAGCCCAGCCCTTCCTCCATCTAGAAGCAGCAGCGAGGATCTCCTGTCTCTCAGACCAGGAGGGATGCAGGCGTCACGTCAGGCAGTCCAGGGGCTGGGAGAGCTGGGTCTGGAGCCCTCGGCCTTCCTGCCCCTCCCTCTCCCTTCCCTGGACTCACAGCACAGGCCGGGGCTCCGCCAGCGGCGGACCGGCTGGCCCACCATGCTGCACTGGCGGGAGTACTCCGACAGGGTGGCACAACTGCTGTTCTGTGGGCCTGGCTGGGGGGCTGCGGCCACGTCCGCCTGGCAGCTTAGCACGAAGGGCTCCTTGGACACGCTGCACTCAGGGGCCACCAGGGTCAGCAGCTGGGTGCAGATCCGGGCCTGGGGGGGCCACTCAGGGTCATGGGGGCAAAGGCCACACCCCATGCCACCACGACTGGGGAGGTCGGGCAGGGCGTCTGTGATGCGGCTGCTTGTGGGGGCCCTTGGTGGTCTCGGCGACCCTGTCAGACCTGGGGTCAGCCCCACCTGGAGCCCCCTTGCTTACGTGCTGGGCCTGCCGGACGTGGGTGCTGGGGATGTCCTGGAAGGTGCAGATCTCGCCGGGGTCGTCCAGCTTCTGGAGGGCAGCAAACTTGTGGGGTTCCAGGAACTTGCCTGGGGTGCAGAATGGGGGTCAGCACCGTGGGGG
The DNA here is from genome assembly GCF_000001405.40 of Homo sapiens. NCBI lineage: Eukaryota > Metazoa > Chordata > Mammalia > Primates > Hominidae > Homo > Homo sapiens. The sequence goes on from NT_187656.1 coordinate 100,656, forward strand.
CTGGGCCTCAGAGGCCCCCCTGCCCTGCCCCCCACCTAGAGGCCCCCCCAGAGGCCCCCCAGCCCTGCCCCCACCTACCCTCCTCACTGACAAACTCGTTGGTCACCTTCCCGTCAAAGTTCCCGCAGAGCCCGCACATCTGACCCATGTACTTCCGCTCCACCAGAACCTGCGGGAGACGGCTCTGCTGGGGGCCCGGGGGCCAGGGGCCCCCTCATCTGCTGTGGAGGGCTCTCAGTTCCTGCTCCTGGACCCAGAGCCCCCACCATCCCCCCACCTGCTCATCTGCCTCTTCTTATGGGAGCCTAATTTTCCAGTGGAGAAGCCGAGTCACCCACAAAACCCAGTCCTGGCTCATGTTGCTGGTCAGGGGTCAGCACTGCTTGGCACGAAGGGCCTGGCTGCATGGCAGCCTGAGGGCTGGCTGGGACCCCCAAGGAGGGCAGCCCCTCCCAAGTCCCACCTGCCCCCCCGTGCTGCGGGTCTCCAGGCCCACCCTGGCCCTTCTCTCCTCACCATGAGGTGGCTGTCAGGACCCCACACGACTTCCAGCTCCAGCTCCAGCTGCTTGGCCACCAGCCGCACGCTCTGGCCGAAGGGTGTGATCTGGAGTCCATTGCTGGTATAGGGCAGGCTGATGACCCTGTGGGGCAAGGGAAGTCGGTGGTCGATCCTCAGTCCTCCGGCCCCCGAGCCCCCGGGCCCCGGCCCACCTGACCTACCCGATGTCCTTGACTGAGATGATGGCTTCGCTCACAGTGACGACGGAGGCCCCCAGCTCCACGATGATCCGCGAGATGCTCCCGTCTGGGCCTCGCCGCAGCTGGACACTGAAGGTGGGGAAGGCGTCCTTGCAGGTGGCCGCGAAGATGTAGTTGCACGTCCCCGAGAAGTCGTACACGTGGTGGTCGAAGGTGGAGAAGTGACCAGCCCCCCACGTGGAGCACTGGCCTTTGTCCGGGGCTACAGAGAGAGCAGTGCTCACACAGCCCTGTGTCCCCACCATCCTGGCCAGGCAGGGCTGGGGCAGGCAGAGAGGTCACTCGTCTCCCTGGGCCAGGGTTTTTGAGTTGGGGCCAGGCTGTGGAAACCCCAGACATCCGATGAACCTGAGTGCTATGGTATATGCCTGGCCAGGAGTCAGCACCGCTGTGGGCATGTGCACACACGTGTGTGTGGGTACACGTATGTGTGTTGTGTGTGTGCACGTGTGTGCACGTATGTGCGTGTCTCGGGTGTGTGCATACGTGTCAGGTGTGTCCATGTGTGCATTGTGGGTGTGTGTGTGTTGGAGGGCTGTGTAGGCGTGTGAGATATACACCTGCATGTGTGTTGGGTGTGTGTGATTGTGTTGCATGCACATGTGTGTTTGTGTGAGCTGGGCATGTGTGTCGAGTGCATGTGTGTGCATTCGGGGTGTGTATGTGTGTGTTGGGTGCGTGTCTCAGGTGTGTAGGGTGTGTACATAGGGTGCATGTGTGTGTAGGGTGTGTGTGTGTTGGGTGTGTGCACATGTGTAAGTCGTGCGTGTTGTAAGTGTGCATGTTTGCATGTCTGGGATGTGTGTGCATGGGTGTTGGGTGTGTGTGCATGTGTTTGTCAGGTGTGTTTGTGTGTAGGTTGTGTGTGTTGGGTGTGTGTGCATGTGTGTTGGGTTGTGTGTCTGTGTAGAGTGTTGGGTGTGTGTGTGACGTGTGCTCATGCATGTGTCATGTACATGTGTATGCGTGTGTCAGGTGTGTGTGCATGTGTATATTGGGTATGTGTGTGTGTTGGGTGTATGTGCATGTGTGTTCATGTTGGTGCATATATGTGTGTTGGATGTGTGTGTCTTGGGGGTGACCTGGGCTCCGGGCCCCTCTCTCCTGCACACCGGGCCTGGGTGGTCTGGGCGGCAGGATCAGTGGCCGCTGTGTTCTTACCTGTCTGTGGAGAGTCCTTCAGCCTCTGGAGGCCTGGGCTGGTGTAGGAGGTGTTAGCCAGACCTGTGTGGACGGGACCCGCAGTCGGTGTGGGGCTACCCCGTCGTCCCTGAGGGCGCCGCTCACCTCTGCTCAGGGCTGCTCCGCCCGTTTCCCTGCACACACTCGGCGTGCGAGAAGTGTCCATGGCCCGTGGGGCTCGAGGCCTCAACAGCAAGCCAAGCGCTCGGCCTCCCATGCTGTCCTTCACGAGCCCCAGCTTCCTTCCCTGCTCTCGTTCACTCCCTCGTTTGTCCACTCAGTCCCAGTTCAGCCGTCAGCCCCTCGGGGTTCGGCAGATGGCGGGCACCCTGTGTGCAGGGTACTCATCCCTGGGGCTTCTGGGTGGGGCTAGGAGGGGCTGGTGCGGGTGGCAGGGGCTTGGCGGCGGAGCCAACAAAGTGGGCTGTGCCCGCCTCCCCAGCTTGGCCGCCTGGTTTCCCTGAGGGGTCTGCGCCAAGGCCCCACAGCCGGTTCTCCCTGCTCTCGGTGGCTCCGGGGCTCTAAACATGGCCGCTTTCCTGCACGTCAGCCTTGAGACAGCCTTGATGTCAGGCCTGGCACTGAGGCCACTGTTGTCAGAGAAACATCCAGATAGCCCAGTCACGGTGACTCCAGGGCAGGGCAGCGGGGGACGTCCCACCCTGACTCCCAGAGGCTGGGGTGGGGCCAACACCCCCCACGTCCCACCCCCTGTACCCAGAGGGAGACTTTTCCCACCTCTGGGTAACTCCCCGGACCCTGCCTCCGAGACTATGACCCTTCCTGTGGCTCCCACGAGCCCCCGATGTCTGAGTGGTGGTGCGGCACCTGAGCAGGACCCGTGACCTCTCCAGGCCCTTCTTGGGGCCGGGACCCTCCTTGCCCCTGCCCATTGGTTAGCAGGGCACTCACAGCACCTCCTTCCAGATGTAGCTCAGAGATCCCATTCCTGCCACTCCTCACCTGTGCTCTCACCCCAGGCTCTGCCCACTTTCTGGGACTTACTTGATGCTGCCCCCATTACCGCTGGACACCTGTGTCTCCGGTGACGCAGGGGCAGGGGCCTGTCAGCTGGGAGATGGTGTTAACCGCGGTCCAGGGAGGAGCCAGGCTGCCTGCCCCTTGGCCGCCTGGGTGAGTCCTGTCTGGCACAGGCAGGAGGTTGGGTATTTGAGTGACTGGATTTAAGAAGAATGCCAACCTTGGCTATGTGGGACACATATTTGGCTGTGGTCCCCTTTGGCCTTGAGATCGTTTTCTGATGGGTTGCACCTGGCTTATCCCCAGTGTAAGCTGAGTTTACTCCAGACTGGTGTGGGGGTGGCTCATGCTGGGCCCTGAGCCTGGCGAGCACCTACCCCCTCACTCATCCCCCTCCTGGGGGTCCCAGTAGGTGTCATGGTCCTCAGCCCCCCGCCATTCCTTCCAGGGATGATCCACAGGGCTCAGAGCACCTGCTGCAGGAGTGCGCAGCACACCGAACCCTCAGCCATGGAACTCAGTGGTTCCTGGGATGGGGCCCTCGCTGGCCTCTGGTGGGGGAGGGGTGGGAGAGCTCTGAGCGGGAGGAGCAGTTGGCTGCCTGCCCCTGGGCCAGCACCTCTGGAGGCTGCAGAGCTGTGACCGGTCTCCCCTGGGCAATGCCCCCTGCAACTCAGTTTCTCCACCTTTCCGATGGGGGGTGGCACTTGGGGGCCGTCCCCGCTGTAGCACAGACACCTCGGGCCTGTGTTTCGGTGCCCTCAGCCCTGCCAGGCTGGCTTCACTGCCCCGGGTGGGTGCCTCATTGCTGCACCCCCTGCGCCCCCCGCCGCCCTCGCCCTGCCCCACCCGCAGGAGGTTCCCCGAGTCCACTGGCTCCAAGTCGGCTGCCTCCAGCTCTGAAGTCCAGCGGGAGACTCCTGCGTTCCTGCCCAGACTGGCTGTGCTTCCCCTCGGCTGATCCCTTGGCCAGGCGCATGGGCATCTGGGCGGGTTGGTCCGCCACCCCCGGCCTCTCAGCCCCTGGACGAGCACGAGGCGGCAGGTGCGCACTGTTCCTTCTGCACGCTTGGCGGCCGCCCACCCCTGCCTCCCGGCCCACCGCGGCCCAGGCCTGCAGCCCGTCTGTCCGACCCCACACTCTGCTGGCTGAGGCCCCTCCCATGTTGGCAGAGATGGCGCTCAGAGATTATTTGCTGGGGTGACGGGTGGACACCCCCACTTGGCCCTCCACCCTCTGCACTGCCCACAGCCCAGACCTCCAGCCTCTCTGGGCCTCACCACACCTCCCTCCCTGGCTCCAGGGTGGTGGCCCGAGGGACTAGGGGTCGCACTCTGCTGCAAGTTTAGCCCCACTTCCTGGCACTTGTCCCCAAGCTGTGCCAGGTGTGCAGGTAGGGGCTGGGGTCCCAAGCAGAGGGCACCGCTGGGAGGGCTCAGAGACCCCCACATCTCCCACGGTTGAAGGGTGGTGCCCGGCGTGGTAGGGAGCGGGCTCAGAGACCCCCATATCTCCTACAGTTGAAGGGTGGTGCCCGGCGTGGTGGGGAGCGAGCTCAGAGACCCCCACATCTCCCACGGTTGAAGGGTGGTGCCCGGCGTGGTGGGGAAGGGGCTTCAAAGGAGAGAAGGGGTGGGGTGGGCTTGGGTCGCCCTACAGTGGGACACCCCTGGGGGGGTCCCACTGTGCTCTGAGCCCGAGGCGCCCAGGTTGGCAGCAGCTCCGAGGGCGAGCTCTGTCACGCCAGCGTCCACCCCAGGGGGCTCCCGGCTGTGGAGGAGGGTCGGGCCAGCTTGGAGAGGAAGGAGGAGCACGGAACACAGAGGCCCTTGGGCTGGTGCCTTGGTCGGCAAGAGGGGTCTCCCCAGGTCTCAGGCTGCGGCCACAGAGGGACCCCTTGGGGCTGGCTCCTTCTGGGGGCCTGGGGAGGGACTGATGGTCACCTGCAGCAGCCGCAGGGCAGGCGGTTGGCAGAGGATCCAGGATGTCAGTCCCTCCTGGATCCTGCCCGAGCTGGGTAGGGGAGCGCGGGGGAGAGGGCAGGCTGCCTGCGGCGGTTCTGAGCCCAGGATGGCCGTACACCTTCCCCCCTCTTCCCCCCACGGCGGCCACACCAGGGGAGGCAGCGTCCCCCACTTCTGTAGACTAGGAAACGAGGCCCAGGGCCCAGCAGAGACTGTGCCTCTGTCCCCCACACTCCAGAGACCTCTCAGGACTCAGGACCCCACTCGGGGAGGGAGAGCGCCAGGGCTGGGCACCAGCACACCTGCCCACTGTTCCCGCGGGAGTGCCGGACCCCACTCCAGCTGAGCGTCCTCCCCCGCTGGCTGCTGTGCCAGCTCACAGGAGGGCGTCCCTGCCCAGGCCCCATGGGGTCCCTGACCCCAATTGGCAGAGCCCAGCACCGCGGCTGCTGGGGGGACCCGGGCCTGGCAGCGGGGGCTGGTCACGGAGCCGAGCTGGGGCCTCCCGTCCATCAGCGTCCATGTGGGCCAGCCGAGTTGTCGAGGCGAGAAGGCCCAGAGACCCCCGCACACAGGGCCCCTCTGAGGGCACCGCAGTGTCTGGCGCCCCTCGACCTCACTCACCAGCGCTGAGCAGGGCTCCGCAGCAGGACAGCAGCAGCCACCGCTGGACCATGGTGCACAGTGGAGAGGAGCTCGCGCTGGGCCCGGCAGGCCTGCTGCTGCCATCCATGCGGCTCCAACGGCCGGTCCTGGGTGCCTTATATAGGCTGGCGGGCCCTCCCCCGCCGCACCTGCCTGCGCCCCGCGGTCCAGCCCCTTAATCACCACTGCCGGCGGGCGCCGCGGTGGCCAAACAGGATCTGGGCCTGCTTTATCAGGACTCGGCTTTCTTTGGAAAATCCTGCAGGCAGCGGCCCCATTATCACCCATTCCCAGCGGGGGGCTGACGCACGCACGCCCCCAAAGGTCCTGCAAACACCCCCTGCATGGGGGCCATCCTGGCCCGGGCCCTCCCCGCTGCTGGGTCAACGTGGCACTGTCAGCCACACGCCTGGTGGCCGGGATGGACCTGTTGGGGGAGGTCGGGGGCCCTGGGGCACCTGCTCTGCCCCTTCCGGGGAGCCCAGTGCTGACCCAGCTTGGGGGGAACCCTGCTGCACCTGA